>NW_025791779.1:0-151242 GCF_000001405.40 Homo sapiens
CTGAGAATAATAGCTTCCAGCGCCATCCATGTCCCTGCAAAGGACATGATCTCATTCCTTTTAAAGGCTGTATAGTATTCCATGGTGTATATGTACCATATAAACATAGTGTTCTTCTCTTGGATTAACTGGGGTGAGTACCAACATTTAAGGCCACAGTAAATATCTGAACACTGATTTGTTTTCAGATTCGCTCTTGGCCTTTATTCTAGTAAAGCTCTTCCTTAGTCCCTCATAGTTGTGTGTGTGTGTGTGTGTGTGTGTGTGTGTGTGTGTTTCTATTTTGTTCTAATTGCCTTTGTCTAGCATAGCATTTATAATATGATTTGGTGTTCAGTAAATGGTAATCATTCAATGTATCATTCTTTTGCTTAAAGGCAAAAACAGAAATTATGTTTTTCAAATTTTAGGCTTGTACTATAAGCAAATAGTTCTTTTAATCTGAAAATATAATAATCAATCATATGTAATAAACTAATCAGAGGAAAACCCGTAATTTTCAGAGAAAATTTGTTCCAAATTATCTATCCCTTTATCTAGTCTTACAAATATTCTAGTCTTCAAATATCATAAAGCAACATGATTTGCTCAGTGTATTTCACACTGTTGAGAGACACCTCGTGTTTTTTATTCTTTGTTTTTACATGGGAACTTACTAGATTCCAGCATCTTTATGAGTTTTAGTTCTTTCTGCATTAGAAAGAAGGAAACAAGCATCGCTGGCTCAGATTCTTGTGTTCCTTCTCTGGGATGTTCCTGTTCAGAGGGAGAGGGCTTCTGGTTTATTCACCAAACTCTACTCGACTGAGGAGGTCTATAAGGAGAAGGTCTTGCTCTCTGTGACTGAGCGAGTAATTTTAATATTGCAGGGAGTATAAAGACCATGGTGGCTTCATATCTAGACCACTTCCTACAATCCAATTTTAGCATCATAAAACTAATATTTTCATGTGATTACTTTGTCCATTTCTCAGCTAGTTGTAACTACAGGAGATGAATGAGTCACTATACATCTTGCATTCAAATTCTATTACATAAATTCTAAAGATGTACTTAATGATGTTGATGTAATATCACCATTTAGGTGTTCCTGTACAACACAGAGACAGACAAGCTGAGCCCAAGAACCTGACACATGAGTGGAAGAAGCCAAGATTGAAATGAAATTTCTAGCTCCAGCTCTTCCCGCTGTAGGTGTTTATATATTCACAGCTGATCTCCCAGACATCTGGGGACCCAGACAAGCCATCCTAACTGTGTTCTTTCTGAATTCCTTTCAAAATCTATGAACATGTTAAAATTTCTCCTTTTGTATGCCATTAAGTTATAGGATAGTTTGCTATGAAGTAATATATAAATAAAACAGATGTATGTTTTAAGAAAAAATAAATTAAAAGCTCTTTGCAGAAGTAACACTTTAAGGGTTGCCACTTTAAATTTTGATATAAATTATTTTAATTTAAATGATTGAAAAAATATAATTGCGTAATTTATTTAATTGTTCAGCACATCCATGTTTTCACTTTTGATGCCAGGGTACTTTAGATCTTTTAATAAAAAATAAAGCCTGGTGTGTATTCATCCTTGCATTTCCATTATCTGTCATATTGATGTGCACAAAACAAATCCTAAAAAGTATTTCTTTGGTAAAGTCAACTAAATATATCTGCATGTAAAATATTAGAGATAGTTTACCAAAGGGGACTTATCCAATCAAGTAATGCATAAAGGTATTCTTATTGTTAATAAACACTAAAAAATGACATTGTAGCATAAGTAATCAAGAAAACAACAAACATACACAAAATTATTTCCCTTGATGAAATCCACGAATATATATGGAGCTTCACCAAAGCAGAATTTTGATGACTATACATACACACACACACACACACACACACGCTGTACTAAAATGGAGAAGTAACCTATCATAAGAGTGACCCTGTAATAAATTTGCTCTTAATTCACACTAATCCATACTATTTAAGAACAAAAGAAGCTGTTTGGACTAAATAATGAAAAGTCTGTGTCACTGGCCACAGTTCCAAATAAAAAACGGTGTGAGAGAATAAAGTGTATATGAAGTGAGAATAAGATATATATGGGGCTTCTCAAGAATTCTGATAGAGATGTGTGTGTGTGTGTGTGTGTGTGTGTGTGCATGGTCTTTTGTAGAATTCTACTTAGAAGAAGCTCTGTATATATTTTATCCTCACCTACAAACTGTGGATTTCATCTGAAGATGTGGCCAGTGACCCAGGCTTCTCATTATTTAACCCAGGCAATTTCTGTTGTCCTTCAACAGGACAGATTAGTGTCATACAAAGAGGAAATGAATTACAAGGTCACTCATAAGATAGGTCACCTCTCCATCTTAGTGGCAGTAAAATGATTACTTGCTCAGTCAATGAAGACCAGCAGCTGATCAGGACCAAGCATCAGGTAGAGTTTTCAGGCTTATTCCAGCTGGCAAAATGAAAATCTATATTGGGACCCCTGAGACATGAAGAGAGAACAAAATTGCTTTGAGCCACTGTGGTGGTTGATAAATGGCACACTTAGAGAAAAACATTAGTCTCTCTACCCACCTGCCCAAGCCTAGCTAAATTCAAAGGAAATATGTACCTCTCTGGTATGCAATTGAGTACCTAATTTATTCCCTCTCACCACCAAAAAAAAAAAAAAAACATTGTGTTAATTATTCACTGTTCACATTCAAAGGGATGTTAAATATGGATAATTTTTCAAAAAAGTTATGTGTAAAACAATAACAAAACTCTATGTAGAATATATATGTTAACAGTAATTAATTTTTAAAAGGCAAGTAGCATGTACAATAAATATATGTAAGATTACATGAAAAAGAGGAATCTATTCAGACATCAGAGGAATGAGATTCAAAGAAGAAGGCACAAGGTTGAAAGAAGGCATCACAAACATACCGAAGGTTATATTCAATCTAGTGTCTTTCATTATATGGAATATATGCAATTAATCATTAAATGGAATTGATTAAATAAGTCTAAATCAGTCTGCATCAGTCAAATGAATCTAAATATCGGGCTGCTTTAGATTTTTTTTTAATATATATATACTTTAAGTTCTGGGATACATGTGCAGAACTGGCAGGTTTGTTACATAGGGATACATGTGCCATGGTGGTTTGCTGCACCCGTCAACGCATCATCTACATAAGGTATTTCTCCTAATGCTATCCCTCCCCTTGCCCCCCACTCCCCGACAGGCCCCGGTGTATGATGTTCCCCTCCCTGTGCCCATGTGTTCTCATAGTTCACCACCCACTTATGAGAGAGAACATGCAGTGTTTGGTTTTCTGTTCCTGTGTTATTTTGCTAAGAATGATGGCTTCCAGCTTCATTCATGTCCTTGCAAAGGGCATGATATCATTCTTTTTTTATCGCTGCATAGTATTCCATGGTGTATATGTGCCACTTTTTCATTATCCAGTCTATCATTGATGGGCATTTGGGTTGGTTCCAAGTCTTTGCTTTGTGCATGTGTCTTTATAGTAGAATGAGTTATAATCCTTTGGGTATATACCCAGTAATGGGATTGCTGGGTCAAGTATTTCTGGTTCCAGATTCTTGAGGAATCGTCACACTGTCTTCCACAATGGTTGAACAAATTTACACAAATTACACTCCCACCAACAGTGTAAAAGCATTCCCATTTCTCCACATCCTCTCCAGCATCTGTTGTCTCCTGACTTTTTAATGATCACCATTCTAACTGGCATGAGATAGTATCTCTTTGTGGTTTTGATTTGCATTTCTCTAATGACCAGTGATGATGAGCTTTTTTTCATGTTTGTTGGCCTCATAAAGGTCTTCTTTTGAGAAGTGTCTGTATATATCCTTCTCCCACTTTGTGATGGGGATGTTTATTTTTTTCTTGTAAATTTGTTTAAGTTCCTTGTATGATGGAGTCAATTGCTCATTAATAAAAGCTATATATATAATAAAAACTTTTTTATTAGAGTTTAAAGTTTATTAAAATAAATTATATTAAATATTTTGCATAATCCTTGACACATTTTGTTCTTACATAACCAGACTGTATAACTCATACATAATAATGAAATGCATTAAGAGAAAGATTTTTCATAGTTTTAAAAATAAAATTTATATTAATATCAAATTTTATTCCTTCCCAGGATTTTTGAATAAAAAATGAAATATCCTCATTTCCATGATACCAACCAAAGTGATAACAAGCAATACAATGAAGAGGTTATTTATTCTTTAGGAATATGTCAAACATTCCAAAATAGTGATAAACTCATATATTCATATAATTAAAGGATTTCTGCTCATTTATACATTTTCTATCTTATCTAATCACTTAATCCAATTTATTACATTTTACTTCATTTTACCTGATATTAACAGTGAACGTCAGAGAAATTAAATTACCTATCTACCTGTCTATGGAACTTTCTTTTTTTTTTTTTTTTTGAGACGGAGTCTCGCTCTGTCGCCCAGGTCGGACTGCAGACTGCAGTGGCGCAATCTCGGCTCACTGCAAGCTCCGCTTCCCGGGTTCACGCCATTCTCCTGCCTCAGCCTCCCGAGTAGCTGGGACTACAGGCGCCCGCCACCGCGCCCGGCTAATTTTTTGTATTTTTAGTAGAGACGGGGTTTCACCTTGTTAGCCAGGATGGTCTCGATCTCCTGACCTCATGATCCACCCGCCTCGGCCTCCCAAAGTGCTGGGATTACAGGCGTGAGCCACCGCGCCCGGCCTATGGAACTTTCTTATACAATTAATTGAAAAATTACTTGAACATGATCTTTCTAACTCTTACGTTAATGTTTGTTTGTTTTTAATTAACTACTTAAGTATAATTAATATTACTGATTTGACTACTGAATTATGTTATACTAAAATTTGAACTAAAGTTTAAATAATCCCATATGCACTCTAAAATGCACTGAAGCTTCCCCTGGCTTAAACTAACACTAGACATAACTAATATTTTTCAGTCCTTGTTATTTATTTTCTTTTCTCTATTCATCTTGTCATTATTTATCCCTGCTCCTCATTAATGCTAATCTAAAATAGGTGAAATGACTTTAACACTTCTAAAATGCTTTTACTTGTGTTTACTCCTAAAGTACTTAATAGGCAGCACAAGGTATACAGTGCAATATAATGATGCAGACAAGAGACAATGGCTACTTCTTGAAGTTTGGTAGTTTTGGCAACTCCTTAAGTAGCTACATCAGTGAGTTCTTATGTTTTGGCTTACAGTCCTTTACAACACTCCAGGTAATACACAGAAAGTTTAATCTACATCTCTGGAGCCCGGGGGAGAGAGTAAAGTGGTCACAGTGAGATTTGTAAGCTTGTAAAGTCTCTTGTCTCTTTTTATAGGTATTAATTGAAACTGTGGGCTAAGATAACTTAAGGAATAAAAGACACACATGCACACACACGTGCACACACACACACACACATACACACACACACACGGTGGTAACATGAAAAAGGCTAAGAAGGGCCTTTTGAATTTCAGCATTTATTGGGCAATATGAGGAAGTTTGGTACTCAAAAGCATAGTCTAAAATTATGAGGAGGATTAGAAAAACGTCTTGTCAAAAAAGCCAAGTGGATATGGCGTTGCAGGATGTATGGTATACTGAATGGACAAAACAGATGATGAACAAAATCCATTTATAGATCTTTGGCAATATTTATTGATTAATATCATTCTAGGAAGTGAATATTCCTTGTGAGCTGTTGCCTTCATTTGTGTCTCAGTAGGTGAACAGGGCAAAAATGTTTGGAAGTCTAACTCCCAAGAATTCTGCTTAAAGAGTAACCTCTGATGGTCATGAAATAAAGTGTTATATTCAATCAAGTAGGTAGTTAAATGTCAGTCACATCTAAGGGAAGTAAAACTTGAGTTTAATTGTATCTGTTGGAAAACATAAAATATCTTCTAAATATATCCATAAAGGCTATGTTTCTGGAATAAAGTTGATCATTTATCAAAAATAGAGAAAAAAATAGAGAAAAATGAAGAAAATTAAATGTATTAGTCATAATATGTCTTGAAAGTTTTTGAATTTTTCCTAATTCCCTTATTTATTAAGAGAAAAAAATAGGTTACACCTTAATATGCTCTCATAAATGTCAGTGTCTTGCCTAGCAGTATAGCTGGCTTAGCTGTGATTAAATATATGATTTTTGAAGAGCAATAGAAAAATATCAATAGAGCTAAGAATTGATTTTTTGAAAACAACAATGAAATTCACATACTACCCTTACATAGTGTTACTAAGAAAAAAGAGAGAGGATTCAAATAATTAAAATCAGAAATAAACAAATGTATATTACAATCAATACCACAAAATAAAAGAATTAAAATAATATTAAATATGCTAACAAATTGAATAATCTAGAAGAAATAGCTAAATTACTTTGAATCATGAAGAAATAAGATATATGAACAGTTTAATAACTGGTAAGTAAACTAAATAATTAATGAAAAGCTCCCAACAAATAAAAACCCCAAACCAGATAACTTCATTAAAGAATGTTACCAAACATTTAAAGAATTAACATCAATCCTCTTGAAACTCTTTCAAAAAATTGAAAAGTAGGGAAAACTTCTGAGCTAATTTTATAAAGCCAGAATTACCCTGATACCAACGCCAAAGACATTGCAAGAAAATAAAATTAATAACTAATATCCATGATGAATATTAATACCAAAGCTCTCAGAAAATGCTAACAGGCTTAATTCAACAACACATTAAAAGAATTAAACACCACAAACAAGTAAAATGTATTCCTGGGATACAAGGATGGTTCAACTTATAAAAAGCAGTCAATGTAGTACACCACATTTGCAGAATAAAAGACAAAACCCTACGATCATGTCAACTTTTGCAGAGAAACTGTTCAACAATATTCAATGCCCTTTCATTATAAAAATTATATGGAAGAATACAATGCTCTTTCATGATAAAAATCATACAACAGAACATGAATAGAAGAAAATTATCTCAATATAATAAAGACCATATATGAAAAGCCCACAGTTAGCATCACACTTAATGGTGAATTAATGAAATCTTTTCCTCTAAAATAGGAAGAAGACAAGTATGCTCACCAACATCACTTTTGTTTAACACATTATTGGAAGGCCTAGACAGAGCAGTTATGCAAGTGAAATACAAGGCATCCACGTTTGGAAGAAAAAAGTACTTTTACCTGTTCACTGATGACATGAACTTGTATGTAGAAAACCTTAAATATTATATAAAAACAAATCTGTGCGCCAGGCGCAGTGGCTCACGCCTGTAATCCCAGCACTTTGGGAGGCTAAGACGGGCGGATCACGACATCAGGAGATCGAGACCATCCTGGCTAACACGGTGAAACCCCGTTTCTAAGAAACATACAAAAAATTAGCCGGGCGTGGTGGCGGGCGCCTGTAGTTCCAACTACTCGGGAGGCTGAGGCAGGAGAATGGCGTGAACCCGGGAGGCGCAGCTTGCAGTGAGCTGAGATCGCACCACTGCACTCCAGCCTGGGGGACGGAGGGAGAGTTAACAAATCTGTTAGAGCTAATAAATAAAATCAGCAGAGTTGCAAAACACATAATCAATACGTTAAAATAAGTTGCATTTCTATAGAATAACAATGAACAATGAGAATATAAAAGTAAAAAGATAATTCCATTTAAAACAATATAAAAAATGCTTAAGATTAAACCTAAGAAGGCAAAAGACTTATACACTACAAATTAGAAAGTATTGCTGAAATAAATTATATAAGTCACAAATAAATGGGATGTTATCTCATGTTTATGGATTGGAAGCCTTAATTTTTTTTTTTTTTTTTTAGACACAGTCTTGCTCTGTTGCCAGGCTGGAGTGCAGTGGTGCGATCTCAGCTCACTGCAACTTCCACCTCCCGGGTTCAAGAGATTCTCCTGCCTC
This sequence comes from Homo sapiens, assembly GCF_000001405.40. Taxonomy (NCBI): domain Eukaryota; kingdom Metazoa; phylum Chordata; class Mammalia; order Primates; family Hominidae; genus Homo; species Homo sapiens. The sequence continues at coordinate 7,971 of NW_025791779.1, forward strand.
AGCCTCCCGAGTAGCTGGGACTACAGGCGCGTGCCACCACGCCCAGCTAATTTTTTTTGTATTTTTAGTAGAGACAGAGTTTCACCATGTTGGCCAGGATGGTCTCAATCTCTTAACTTCATGATCCGCCTACCTCAGCCTCCCAAAGTGCTGGGATTACAGGCATGAGCCACCACACCCAGCCTGGAAGCCTTAATTTTTAAGATGTCAATATTACCCAAAACTATCTTTCGATTTAATGCAATTCCAATAAAAATCCCGGTAGTATTTTTTGCAGAAATAGAAATAATCATATAAAAATACATATGGATTCTTAAAGGACCCTTGGTAGCTTAAATACTCTTGACAAATGACAAAACTAGAGGACTCATACTTCTTTATTTCAAAATGTTTTACAAAGCTATGATAATTCAAACACTGTGGTACTGACATTAGACAGACATGTAGCCCAGTGGAACAGTACAGACAGCCGAAAAATCAACCCTCTTATATACATTGAAATGATTTTCAAGAAAGGTGCAAAGACAACTCAATGGGGAAAGGACAGTTTTTATGATAAATGGTATAAGGAAAACTGTATATCCACATGTAAAATAATACATCTGGACCCTTATGCCACATACAAAAATGAGCTCAAAGTGAATTAAACAGCTCAATGTTAACATCCTACACTATAGAAGTCCTAGAAGAACATATAGGAGAAACTCTTCATGACGGCAGGTTTGACAATGATTTCTTGGCTATGACATCAAGAATACAGGCAATAAAAACAAAAATACACAAATGGGACCATATCAAACTTTAAAACTTTTATGTATCAAAGGACATGATCAGTAGATTGAAAATGGAACCTGTGAAATAATTTGCAAATCCTATACCCAAAAATGAATTAATATCCAGAATACATAAAGACCTTTCACAACTCAAAACCAGAATAAAATCACTTAATTTGAAAGTGGAAAATAACTTAAATAACTGTTTCCAAAAATGATATACAAATCACCAAAAAGTACTTAACAAGATATGCAGCATCACTAATCAGAGGAATGCAAATCCAAACCACAATAAGATATTTCACACCCATTACAATGGCTACAATCAAAAATACAAAAGGAAAGAAAGTAATAAGCATTGGCAGGAATGTGTAAGTTGAAACCCAGGAATTAAAAAAACAGTGTAACCAGTTCGGAAAAGAGTATGACAGTTCCTCAAATAATTATAAATATCATATGATTCATCAATCTTACTTCAACTCTCTCCAACACAAAAAATTTGAAAGCAGGGTCTAATTAGCTAGTTAAGTTGTTTCCCTCATATTATATATGTGAATACATAAGGCACTGAGGAATTAAGTAATTTACCCAAGGCCATCCCTTTACTAGATGGAAAAGCTGGGAGACAAGATCTACTGCCTGCTTCCAAAGGAGAGGCCTTTCTCTGTATCGATTCTGTGTGAGCACTAAATGTGGGCAACAAAAAGCTAGAAAGATCTCAAATTGACATACTAACATCACAACTATAAGAACTAGAGAATCAAGAGAAAACAAACTCCAAAGCTAGAAGAAGACGAGAAATAACCAAGATCAGAGTGGAAATGAAGAAGATAGAGATACAAAATACCCTTCAAAAAAATCAATAAATCCAGGACATTTTTTAAAAGGAAAATTTACAAAATAGACTGCTAGCTAGATTAATAAAGAAGAAAAGAGAGAAGAATCAAATAGACACAATAAAAATGATAAAGGGGATATCATTACTGACCCCACAGAAATACAAACAACCATCAGAGAATACTATAAACACCTTTATGCAAAGAAAGTAGAAAATCTAGAAGAAATAGATAAATTCCTGGACACAAACACCCTCCCAAGACTAAACCAAGAAGAAGTTGAATTCCTGAATAGACCAATAACAACAAGTTTGGAAATTGATGCAGTAATAAATAGCCTACTAATGAAACAAATCCAAGGAACAGATGGATTTATAGCTGAATTCTACTGGAGGTACAAAGAGGAGCTGGTACCCATTCTTCTGAAACTATTCCAAACATTTGAAAAGGAAAGACGCCTCCCTAACTCATTTTGTGGGGCCAGCATCATCCTGATACCAAAACCTGGCAGAGATACAACAAAAAAAGAAAATGTAATGCCAATATCCTTGATGAACATCAATGCAAAAATCCTCAATAAAATACTGGCAAATCAAATCCTGCAGCACATTAAAAAGCTTATCCACCATGATGAAGTCAGCTTCATCAAGACAGCTTCATCCCTGGGATGCGAGGCTAGTTCAACATATACAATGCAATAAACGTAATTCATTACGTAAAGAGAACTAAAGACAAAACCTACGTGATTATTTTAATAGATGCAGAAAAGGCCTTCAATGAAATTCAACATCTCTTTATGTTAAAAACCCTCAATAAACTAGGTATTAGTGGAACATAACTCAAAAGAATAAGAGCCATTTTTGAAAAACCCACAGCCAATATCACACTGAACCAGCAAAAGCTGGAAGCATTCTCCTTGAAAACCAGCAAAAGAAAAGGATGTCCTCTCTCCCCACTCCTATTCCACATAGTATCACAAGTTCTGGCCAGGACAATCAGGCAAGAGAAAGAAATAGAAGGTATTCAAAGAGAAAAAGAGGGAGTCAAACTGTCTCTATTTGCAGATGACATGATTCTATATCTGGAAAACCCCAGTGTCTCAGTTCAAAAGCTTTTTAAGCTGATAAGCAACTTCAGCAAAGTCTCAGGATACAAAATCAATGGCAAAATCACAAGCATTCCTATGCAACAACAGAAAAGCAGAGAGCAAAATCATGAATGAACTCCCATTCACAATTGTTACAAAGAGAATGAAATACCTAGGAATCCATCTAACAAGGGAGGCGAAAGACCTCTTCAAGGAGAAGCACAAACCACTGCTCAAGAAAATCAGAAGTCATAAACAAATGCAAAAACATTCCATGTTTATAGTTAGAAAGAGTTAATATCATGAAAATGGCCATACTGCCAAAAGTAATTTGTAGATTCAATGCTATTTCCATTAAACTACCATTGACATTCTTCACAGAATTAGAAAAATCTACTTTAAAATTCATATGAACCAAAAAAGAGCCCGCATAGCTAAGACAATCCTAAGCAAAAAGAACAAAGCTGGAGGCACCATGCCACCCAACTTCAAACTATAATACAAAGCTACTGTCAGGCCTCTGAGCCCAAGCTAAGCCATCATATCCCCTGTGACCTGCACGTATACATCCAGATGGCCTGAAGTAACTGAAGAATCACAAAAGAAGTGATATTTAAATGGCCTGTTCCTGCCTTAACTGATGACATTCCACCACAAAAGAAGTGAAAATGGTCGGTCCTTGCCTTAACTGATGACATTACCTTGAGAAATTCATTTTCCTGGCTCATCCTGGCTCAAAAAAACTCCCCCACTGAGCACCTTGTGACCCCCACTCCTGCCCGCCAGAGAACAACAAACCCCTTTTGACTGTAATTTTCCTTTACCTACCCAAATCTTATAAAACGGCCCCACCCCATCTCCCTTCACTGACTCTCTTTTCGGACTCAGCCCGCCTGCACCCAGGTGAAATAAACAGCCTTGTTGCTCACACAAAGCCTGTTTGGTGGTCTCTTCACATGGATGCGAGTGAAAGCTACAGTAACCAAAGAAAGCATGATACTGATACAAAAACAGACACATAGACCAATGGAACAGAATAGGGAACTCAGAAATAAAACCGCACATCTACCACTACCTGATCTTTGACAAACCTGACAAAAACTAGCCATGGGGAAAGGATTCCCTATTTAATAAATGGTACTGGGAGAACTGGCTAGCCATATGAAGAAAATTGAAACTGAACATCTTCCTTATTGAAACTGAATATCTTCCTTACAACTTATACAAAAATTAACTCAAGATAGATTCAATCCTTAAATGAAAAATCAAAGCTATAAAAATTCTAGAAGAAAATCTAGGCCATACCATTCAGGACATAGACACAGAAAAAGATTTTATGACAAAAACATCAAGAGCAATTGCAACAAAAGCAAAAATTGACAAATGGGATCTATTTAAACTAAAGAACTTTTGCATAGCAAAAGAAATTATCATCAGAGAGAACAGACAACCTACAGAATGGAAGAGAAGTTTTATAACCTATCCATCTGACAAAGGTCTAACAATCAAAATCTACAAGAAACTTAAACAAATTTACAAGTAAAAAACAAACAACCTCATTAAAAATTGGGCAAAGAAAATGAACAGACACTTCTCAAGAGACATTTGTGAAGCCAACAAAAAGATTATCATCACCAATTATTATAGAAATGCAAATCAAAACCACAATGAGATACTATCTCATACCAGTCGGAAGGCAATTATTAAAAAGTCAAGAAACAACAGATTCTGGTGAGGCTGCACAGAGATAGGAATGGTTTTACACTGTCTTGGGGAATGTAAATTAGTTCAATTATTGTGGAAGACAGTATGGCAATTCCTCAAAGACCTAGAGCCAGAAGTACCATTTGATTCAGCAATCCTATTACTGGGTATATACCCAAAGGAATATAAATCATTCTATTATAATAATATATGCATGCATGTTCTCACTCGTAGGTGGGAATTGAACAATGAGAACACTTGGACACAAGGCAGGGAACATCACACACCTGGGCCTTTCAGGGGGTGGGGGTCTGGGGGAGGGTGGCATTAGGAGAAATACCTAATGTAAACGACAGGTTGATGGGTGCGGCAAACCAACATGGTACATGTATACCTATGTAACAAACCTGCACGTTGTGCACATGTACCCTAGGACTTAAAGTATAATAATAAAAAAAAAATACATGCATGCTTGTGTTCATGGCAGCACTCCTCACAATAGCAAAGGCATGTAATCAACCCAAATGCTCATCAATGATAGACTGGACAAAGAAAATGTGGTACATATACATCATGGAATACTATGCAGCCATAAAAAGGAACAAGATCATGTCCTTTGCAGGGACATGGATGAAGCTGGAAGCCATTACTCTCAGCAAACTAATGCAGAAACAGAAAACCAAGTACTGCATGTTCTCACTCATAGGTTAGAGCTGAACAGTGAGAACACATGGACAAGGGAGGGGAACAACACACACTGGGGCCTGCAGGGCTTGAGGGAGAAAGAAGAGCATCAGGAAAAATAGCTAATGCATGCTGGGCTGAATACTAAGGTGATGGGATGACAGCTGCAGCAAACCACCATGGCACACATTTACCTATGTAACAAACCTGCGCATCCTGCACATATAATCTAAAACTTAAGAAAAAAATAGACAAGTTAGTCTACAGTTATCTTTGTACCATTGCTTTTATAGACATCCAAGGTTGAATTATAACTGCCTAAGAACAACCTCTTCTCTTCCATTTGCAAACTACATGCTCTTTACTTGTAATGATAAACTCTCTAAGCAAAGTTTATTGGATGCACTACATACGATGTCATTTTCCCAACAATTCATTGTGCTTTTCTATATCACTTATGAGATTACAAGGCTCTTTCGGATTTTACTATTGTGACTAATTTCTCTCAGTGAGAGGAACTCTTTTAATCAATTTCTGAACTTGCACAGCCCTTATTGTTGCTTCCAAATTCAAAGGCTCCAAGGGTCCAGGAGGACAAATAAGCCTCAGCTTTGAATTTTCTAGTCCTTAAGCAATTCTATGCATTTCAATGACTTCAGAAATAATGTTTTTCACCACATTAATTCCAAGACGAGGCTCGGATTTTGAATTTTCCTCTGATATTTGCCTATTCATTGTAATTTCATGAGAGCTGTTAATTGGCATAAATGTTGCATTGCTCATCTTCCTCCTGATAAAAATGTAGGCCTGTGGTTTGGGCTGAATATTGAGGTTTTCCCGTTTTCTTTCATTTTCTTTTCTTTCCCATCCCATTTTTTTCTTTTTATAATTCTCAAAATTTTGCCCTGTGAGCTTTTGAAATGCAAGAAGTCAATGAATATTGGATTTACTTTAAAAAACCCTTTGTTCTAGAAATTCCTGCCATTTTCAACTCCTAATATATGGAAAATTCATCCAGGAGGAATTCTTTTAACATCAGTAATCTTTTGAAAATGCAAATCTGATCACATGAATCCTTGCTTTTACTGCTTTAAGGTTTTTAACAGCTTTAAATCTAAATGATTAGGTTTCCCTCTAGTGCTCTGGCAAACAAATTGATATTCTCTCAGCCACTCACTGTGACTCAGTTACCATGGCCTTAAGTTTGTCAATTTCACCAGCTATTATATAACAAAGCCTCCTTATTTCTAAATATCCTTCTTCATTTTGTCCTTCAAAATAGATATACACCACACACACATGCACACACAACTAGCACATAAATATACCCATATTCCTTACAGTTGAATCTCATCTAGTGTTCTGGTTTCAGCTTGACTATGTCTTTTTGTTTTTGACCAGCATCTCCCCTCACACTACCTAAAGCACAACCTCTGACTCTAATCTCTCATCACAATAATTAATGGAAGTAAGAAAGAAGTGCTTCTTGTGTAAAAAAAAAAAAATCTGTGTCCTCAGTAATCTATACACTTATTAAGTCTGTGATCCAAGATTATCAATTGTATTTTAACACTTACCAATGCATCAGGCCTGAACTTGACTTACTTGTATCCTGCCTAGCTTACTTACAGTATGATTGAGCTTTCTGATAAAATGTCCTAGCCTTGTTTACATCTATGATATTCTTCTATAAACTTAATTTCTCAATATGATACCAATTTTCTGCAGTTATCTTCCGATTGTCTCTTACACTAACACAATATAAGTTTCATAGGTTTCTTAATTCATCTTGACATTGAGTCCTGACATGTAATGTTTAAAGGACATTTTCATTATATTCCTGACCTTAAATTTATTTATCTTTAGTATCTATTTTTTGCCACCTTTGATAAAACTCTCTGAGAATCAGTTAATCTTTTTGACTTTATTGTTCCCTTCTTATCTATATTTCCAAAAACATTAATTCTGCTTTACTATCATTTCTTTTTTATGACCAACTAGTTTGACTCTATTTTCAACTGCTAGAGTTTGCCAATATCCACATCTTCCAATACACTGACCATTCATTGAACATAAAAAAAACACAGAAAATTTAGCTCTAGCATTTATCAAGTAAAGCTTGTACTATGTTGACAGAAGAGTTGAATTCTATAAAACATTCATTTGCTCCGAGCCAAATATGAGTGACTAATGTCCCATGACACAGCCTAGGAGATCCTGAAACATGTGCCCAAGGTGGTCAGGACATGGATTGGTTTCATGTTTCCTGTATGTTACTTTCCTTTTTCTTTCCATAAATCTTCCACCACATGGCTTCACTGGAGTCTGTATGAACCTACTCTGCTTCAGGAAGATGCCTGATTTGTAAATTGTCATTTGTTCAATTAAACTGTGTTAAATTTAATTTGGCTAAGGTGTTTCTTTTAACAATCTTTTCATGGTCATCTTCATAGAAGGATACTAATCATATGTGATTAGGGGCCTACCCTACTCCAATATGACTTTCTTTTAATTTAATTAAATGCATCTGTAATTACTCTATTTATTAATAGGGTCACATTATGAGACACTTGGGTTGAAGTCTTCCACATGTTTTTTGGAGGGAAGGCCCAATTTAACCCATAACATTCTCAGAACACACAGAATTAAACTAGATATTAATAATAAAATGATAACTAGAAATTTTGAAAATATTTGGAAATTACAAAACATAGCTTTGACTAACCCATGAGTCAAGAATTTATTTCCAGAATAGTAAGATATATTTGTACCAAATTTAAAACTATAGCTTATCAAAATTTTTGAGGTGCAGCACAAGTCGTGCTTAGAGTTAAATGTATACAATCAAATTAATTTATTGGAAAACTATAAAGATCTATAATCAATAATGTAACTTTCACACTTGGAAACTAAAGAAGAAAGAATAATTTAAGTCAAAAGCAAGAATGATAAAATCAAAGATAAAAATTAGAACAGAAGTCAATCAAATTGAAAAGAAGAAAAAAGAGAAAATCAATAAAATTTAAAGTTGGTCCTTTAAAAAGATTAAAACTCAATGGTGTTCACATATACCATAAAGATGTTAATTCTCTCTAAATTAATCTATGGAGTCAATGTAATTCCAGGGTCATTTTTTTAAAAACTAAAACGCGTTCACATTTATACTAAAAAGGCTATGGCTTTTCCCTAATCTTTAGAAAAACAAGATGGGAGCTTGTTACTGGATACAACTACAGTAATTGAAAAAGTGAGGCTTTGGTAGCTGGATAGAAACGAGACCAGTGGACCATGATGAAGACTTCAGAGAATAAACACGCGTGTAGAAATGGATATAAAACAGAGCTATCTGAAATGACAATGTGGAAAGAACGGTATTTCAAAAAAAACTATCCTGAGTAATTGTTATGTATATGTTAAGGGGTTAAAAAAAAAAAAAAGAATCATTTCTTTTCAAACCGTATACCAAAAAAAAAAAAAAAAAAAAAAAATCAGTTAAACGTTTGAGAAGATAAATTCCCCAAAGGTTAATATGAGAGAATAGATACCTTGCTTTGGAGCAAGAAAATATTTGTTACGTATGCACAAAAAAAACTATTACTGTTGAAAAAAAATGAATAGATAAATTGACTTCATTATAAGTAAAAACTTTGATACATCGAAGCCTCTATTAAGAAAGTGTAATGGGGAGGCATAATGTGAGAAACTACTAGTAACACATTTGTGACTGTTCAGGATCAAAACAGAAAAGTTAAAATTGCGGTGTTTTTTAATGAAAGAATTTAAATTAGAGAATTTGGAAAAAATGCTGGAGGTCTGAACACAAAGGAAGAGTGGATACTAAGGGACCACAGTTGTAGTGATTTTAGGAAGCACCAATCATTTTTATGGCTGGGACAATAACACATGAGGTTAGGGTTTTAGAACCCAGCAACATGTAGGAAAGGATTCTGAACTCAGACCTCTGTGAAACAGCCCCTTTCCAGATGATTGTGTCATTTGAAGAGATGAGGGGAGGGCTGCGGCAGAGTGGTTCAGGGAAGGGAGGACTCTGCCAGATAGCAATAAGAAAAGTAATTTTAAAATGGAAAGAAAGATACATAGTCTCTGCCCTCAGAGGCTTTACCATCTATTCATTGAGACAGATAGTATGCATAAAATATATTTACAAGTTGGTGAGAATTCTTTCTTGAATGTCCCCAATTGCATGAGATATCCATGACTAGAAATAATATATCTGGAACCCAGGGGAAATGTCATCATGAAAGTCCTACTCTACAGGCTCTAGCTGAAGCTTTGGTCACTCAGGGGATAGAAAGATAGCACAGGGACCTCTCTTAAGGGCCTGTCTGGGCCCCCCTCAGCATGGAAATAAAGGAAGATTTTGAGTTTCTTCAAGAGAAATTCCAGGCAAACGCTGAGAAATAAATGAACAACTTGATAAGCGGGACGTAATAATAGCTTAAAACAAAAGTCAAAGGAGTTAGAGTCACAAGATCTTTTGTTCTCTATAAAAAACTAAATTTAACATTTTAATATATGTCTTTGAGTTGTTTTTAGAAACCCAGACCCCCACCAAGTGGATCCACCGGCATGTGGACCTCAGGGAAGGGCTAAGTGAGGACTGAACGTGGACCACCGTTGTTTGTTCTAAGTTTCTTCCTGAGGGGCCCGGAGGAGGTCACACCCACAGGGCAGAGATAACATTCTTTTGTGCTGATTCAAATCTTTAGATGAAGCTTCTAACCAATCCCAAATCAGAAAATCTCTGAATCCACTTAGGACTTGTGGGGCTCTGCTTAGAGCCTGCCTGTTTAGGCCAAACCAATGGATGGCCTCCATGTGTTGATGTGATCTTGCCTGGAACCTCTGCCTGTCCATCTTTAAAATTCCTTACCTGTAAACCCTCTGGGAATTTGAGTCATAGGCATGACTTGCCCAGTTCTCCTTGTGTAGTGCTCTGCAATAAATATCTCACTTTCTTTCAATGCAGTCCCAATGTCAGGGTTCAGCTTTGCAGCACCAGGCAGGCGGACCCAACTTTGGTCCAGTAACAATAGGAGAGAATGATAGCAAGCCTGGATCAGTGAGTTTAAAATAGGATAAGCCAGCCAAGAGTAATCCTAAAGACAGAAGGAGACTCAGAAACAGTTAATAATGCAGAAACAAAGTCCAGCAAGAGAATGGACAAGTGATATACAGAGGTAATTGAGATGAGCATTTTAAAAGTCTGTGGAACTGGCAATTTGGGCATTAAATATGACCTTTGTGAAAGGAAGACTGGCAGGCAGAATTGAGGGTATAAAAGTCAGATGTAAAACACTTTTATTGATTATAACTAATACCATAAACACATGATTTAAAGTTTAACATCATTTCCCCCCTATACATTTACATTTATATTCAGAAACATCTTGTGCAATGTTTGGTTTTTTTTTTTTAATACATCTCTACGAATACTTAGAATGAAATTGTCAAAATGTTAAATCTGAGTGTAAGAGCTAATTTGCTCTACATTTGTAACCGCTTATCATTATAGCCAGTGTTATCAACTTAATGAAGCAGAAGAATTTCCTCCTGGGCCAGTTGCTCAAAACCTTGGTGTCAGGCTAGTAATAATGGTATAAAAATTCTTTGTCACCCTTTTCTAAGTACAAATAAAATTATTTTATATAGTTCAGGGAATTTGTCACTTTAAGTAATATAAGAAATACTACTGATTTTCTTCAAAACATTATGTGTAGAATAAATAGAAATACATATTGAGAATTGTACAACTGGCTAAAATCATACTGAAATGTGAATTTAAAATTATCCTTTTTGATCAATTTTGGAAACACTGCTAGGACCAAAATATGGCATATGTTAACATTTCACACACTTTATCTTCTTCATAAATTAACATTTACTCATGTAAACCACAGAAAAATTTATCTACTGGGCTAAAGCTTTAAAAAATTCAACTTTCTGACACTGGTTTTCTATAATTATACTGGACAAGAATTCATATGGAATTCTATATCACTGTAAGAGTAATTTCCTGACTAAGGTATTCAGATGGAAGGAAGAGAAGCAAATGCCTAAAGACCATATCTTGAACTAGCAAATAGAATAGTCTGTCAGCTGCCTAACTCATTTTCAAGCATTTTGGCACATCTCAATGTAAAAAATGGTTATGGTTCTGAGAATTTTCTCCAGGTAGAATCATTTATCAAGCTGTAACAAAAGTTTCTCATTTTTTATTAGAAAAGTTATGAAGCTGAACTTTAGAAATCACTTTCACTCATCTGTTGGTTAAAAAATATCTAGGAAGAGCAAATGCTGTCAAACCTCTGTACTAGTGTAAGCATATGTGTATGCTCAAGAGTGCATTTTAAGCACCATTAATGCCGATAAAGCACAGCGCTGCAGTCATTTTTCATAAGTGGTGGCTTTACTGACACAGTCCCTCTGAACAACCCTCTCCATCTCTAACTGTTCATCTGTCTCACAGAAATAGCAGTGTGTTCATTCATCATTTGAATAATGGGTGGTAAAATCTCCACTCTTTTTTCTTCTACAGAACTAGTGTACTTTCATGGACTGTGCTTTTTGAGCTCATTAATAGCAATGATGTTATATGGTTCACTCCAGTTCTTTCCCTGGGCTGTTGCTCACATCATAGGAAGCAATAAAAGGAAGGAGGGAGAATGTGGAAAGAGAATGGGACCCCTGGTGGGTGGGAGTGATTGAGGTAACAGCTCATTATCCTTAATAAGCCAAGGGATAGACAAAAGGAGGATAAATAGGATGAATAAACTTTTGGAAACAAATAGTCGTAGGCCACCCTCTCTCTATCTTGTCTCTGTCCTCTCTCTCTCTCTCTCTCTCTCCAGAGTACTATGTAGCTACCGCAAGTTTTCTGTGGCACAGAAATTATTGCAGGTGGAACATTATTTTCAGCACTCCAGACTAGATCACTGCAATATGCTCTATTTGGAGTTCCCTTGGAAGACCTCCCAGAAGTCTCAGATAATACAGAGTGCAGCTGTTGGAGATTGTTAGCACAAATAGATTTGGCTTAGCTGGAAGCCTGAAGCCTGGAACTAAAATATGTCTGAGCTCGACTGTTAGCTGAAAAGCCCTGAAATAAAAAATATATAAAATAATACAAAACCAAATGTTTACATTGTAAATTTTGCAGATAAAAGACTTAGAGATAATTAACTTTGCTTCGTTCTTGAAATAAAAAGGAGGATTCCTAGGTAAAGATGAAAATGTGTTCAGTCAGGTGGAGCATTCTTCCAAATTGTGAGCCTTGTTTTCGATAGATATAAATACATACACTCTCATATTTGAGTAAAATACGTATAAAATGGAAAAATGATAATTCTAACAACATTCTTATTGAAAAATAATGAGTAACATTGTTATTTCAATTACACTAAAGTCAATAATGTTTATGTACTAAAAATGAATCACACAATAACATTCCATTTTTAAGTTTTCTCCCTCACCATGTGATACACTGGATTCCCCTTCACCTTCTGCACTCCAGCCTGGGTGAAACAGTGAGACCCCTTCTCAAGACAAACAAAAAAACAAACAAACAAAAAACTACTTGGCTTCTGGTGAGGCCTGTAGGAAGATTACAATCATGGCAGAAGGTGAAGGGGAATCCAGTGTATCACATGGTGAGGGAGAAAGCAGGAGACAGAAGGGGAGGTGCCACCATTTTTTAAACAACCAGATCTCACGTGAACTAACAGAGTAAGAACATCCCTATTACCTTAGGAAGGGCAAAAAACCATTCATGAGGGATGCATCCCCATTTTCCCAACACCTCCTACCAGGCCCCATGTCAAACAATGGGGATTACACTTCAACAGGAGATTTGGAGAGACCAAATATACAAATTATAGCAGTTAGCATTATGAAATTTCTAAACCTTGATTTGAAACATCTATAATTATATACAGAAGTATGGATGAGTAAAGCCCACAGACTCTGCAACATCCGTATTCAAGTCTGCTTCTTTTACAGCTTCACATTGATTTTCATTGTGAATTTAGCAGTCTGTCTACTCCATTAGATTATCGCTAATTTATGAATGTGGTATTTTTCCTAAATATGTAATTAAAAATAAGAAATTGATTATCTTACTTAAAAATAGTTGTATTCAAAAATAAAATTAAAGATAACAAAGGAAAGTAAGTAAATAAGTTTATTTACTGCAAAACTGAGGCTCCATATAACAAACCTAAATAGTGAAAAAATCAAAATGTCTCTAGAAGTCTGCATTGACTATTTTTATCTGATGAATTAATTTATGAGTAATATTCCAATCAAACCTGTGTTAATTACAAATTGGGGGACCAGTTAGCAGTGTGAGGGACCGAAGGACTAATGTATATTTACATTGTAATAAATCCCATTATATCATTCCTGAACTCAACAAAAAACATTAATCTACAGTCATGCTTCACCTAACCACTGTGATACTTTCTGAGAAATGCATCCTTAAACAATTTCGTCATTGTGCAAATACCATAGACTATATACCTGTACTACATCTATATATATGTATGTATATATATAGGCTACCACACATCTAAGCTATAAAGTATAGCATGTTGCTCCTAAACTATAAATCTGTACAGTAAGTTACTGTACAGAATAGTGTAGTCAACTGTAACACAATGAGAGGTATTTGTAACCTAAATATATGAAAACATAGAAGATGAACAAATAAAAATACAGTATAAAAAATAAAAAATTGTACACCTGTATAAGGCACTTACTATGAATAGAGCTTACAAGACTGGAAATTGCTCTGGGTGAGCCAGTGAGTCAATGGTGACTGAATACGAAAGCCTAAGACATTACCACACACTATTGTTAACTTTATGAACACCGTATACCTGGTTGTACTAAATTTATGAAAAAAAAATATTTTTCTGTATTTAATTATAAATTAAGTTTGTCACCAGCCTGGACAATATGGTGAAACCCTGTTTCTACAAAAATTTCTTTAAAAATTAGCCAAGAATGGTGGTGTCTACCTGGAGTCCCAGCTACTTGGGAAGCTGAGGCAGGAGAATCACTTGAACCTGGAGGCAGAGGTTACAATGAGCTGTGATTGCCACACTGCACTCCAGCCTGGGTGACAGAGTGAGATCTTGTCTCAAAAAATAAAATAAAATAAAATATAAAGCATTTTACTTTATATTTGAAATATTTACCCACTATTTAAATAGATATTTTAATAATTAATTTTAGAAGTTTCTATTCAACTAATATTTAAATGTTTATTTCTAGTTCCTTAAATATAAGGAACCCAACCAATTAAACCTACTATTGAAAAGTACAATTCTATTTTATATTATCAAGAATTAAACATCTTGGTTATAACCAATGCAAGGGTCTTAATTTTTTATTTCTCTCAATATTTACTAATATACTTCTATTTCTTTTAAAAATGTTCTGACTTATATAATCCCATTATGCCTCACTTGATTAGATACCAAAGCATTAACATTTAATGTCACATGTGTGGTTCTTTTTACATTTTTAATTTTAGAGTCCAACTAATCTTACATTAAACATATGCATGGAATTGTGGTTTTCATACTTTTTTATTTTTAATATAATAATATTTGTATTCAGGGCAAAAAACGTATATTTTAAATTAGAAGCATTTTAAAGGTGCTTTAATTTAGAAGCATTTTCAAAATTCAAATGTTAAAGTTATGCTGTAAAAATTATTAAAAGCTTTGAATAAAAATGTTTAAATTATTTCAGAAAGCACATCCATGTGTAGTGTTTTGACGCAGAGGAATGGAGATAAATCTGAACAATTATGGACAATGAACTGCTTTATAAATCTCTTGAAAATGGAGGCTAGTTTGTATAAATAGAACACCAGAAAGAGGTAGTTTGCACAGGTATAAAACAATTTGTTCCACAGAGGATAATTTTACATATAATACGTTAAAATATAGTTAATAACTGAGTTCAGTTTTTATTGTGTAAATCATTTGTGGTTTACATTTTGTATGAGGAAATGTGTTTTGTCTTCAGTAAAACCATATTTTATTGTCCAAAGAAGGATTGTTATTCACAAATTTATGCAAATCAACTGAGAATGTAACATATCCTCTGGTAAAGCAAGACTTTAATGAAAATGAAAATTATGACTCCCCAAAATTTCCATGGAAACTCTTGGGCTATGTCTGCTCACCAATACTAATAAGCTATGGAAGGTATTATGATTATTTGTTGACTGGCAGAATATAAAGATTGTAAGACAATTTAAATCCATTCTCCAAAAAATATTTAACAAATAAGTTGACAGGAGTTCCCTAGGAGAGTATTCTTTTTTTAAAAAAAATCAGATTCCAATTGATAATAACTAGTCTATGCTCTTTTCCCAAGACAGTAGAATATCTGCAACAATCTCTGCTTTTTCACTGATTTAATTTCCCTAATTTAACAAGTTGTAGGTATATAAATTCCCAAGAAAGCTTATTTGGTAAGCCTCAACATTTTTCTAATAGAACAAACTTCATTTAACATACATACTACTATGTACTCATATAGTGAAAAATGTAGAATCATTTCTAAACAAAATATAAGATGCAAGCTGCATGGGTTTCACCTTATGTACATGTTAAAGACATATTTATATATTTATTTAGTTATTCATTCTTATTATAGTATATTAGACATAATAGTCACACACACATTTATATTATAATGTCTGTTCTTAAAAATAAACAATTGTGTTGGGTTCTTTGATGGTGAAACCACCTTTGCAAAAATTATGACAGTGAGGGAAAGCTAATATGGCTGACTTCATCTTGCTTCCACCTGACAACCTAACTCTACTTGCGCATTCCGGAGCATGGACCAAGCTAATTATGAGGGAAATTTAAAGTTTAACTTGAAAACAACAATGAAAACATTCCTTCCCCAAAGTAACTCCATCCTTGCTGAGGGATCAAAATCGCCTTTTTAAAACTAATAAATTGACCACAAGTTTGGATTATTTTAGGGGCTTGAATTCTGTTAGGATTTAGGTATAGGTAAACTGTAACTAGTGATTGTTTTATAACTAATCTTTATAACTAAGCAGCTGCTTACTGCTCAGGGGTCTTGTAGCCTGAGGTAGCCAGATTTGTAACTTCCCCAACTGTCTCTATAGATAACATAACTACTATAAAACCTAAGACTGTTTTTTGAGATGTTTTTTAGACTTTTGCATCATGGCTACCAATGACTCTGTCCAGACTCATGACTTATACCAAGGAATTAACCTAACCAATCATGTAACCTTCACTCAGAAACTGACTCAGTGCACAATGATAGTTTAGATATCCCTATGATTTTATCCCCAGCCCATCAGCAACACCCATTCCCTAGCCCCTGCCTACCAAATTATCCTTAAAAACTCTAGCCTATGTGTTCTGAGAGAGGTGGACTTGAGAAATATCTAGTGTCCTGTGGCTCTGCTGCCTTGTGATTATTAAACTCATCCTCTGCCGCAATCCTTTTGTCTCAGTGTATTGGCTTTTCTGTGCAGTGGGCAAGAAGAACCTACTGGGTACAATGAGAGGAATCTTTAATACTACCATGGAGATTTATATAAATTAGGATTTCCTCAAAGTAAAGTCAGTATCTAATTATTTATGTTCCATTAATCAAGGTAGCTTTGTATACATGCTACATATGACAATGCAAATCTTACTTTTGAATTCACTATTTTCCTGTTTGTATTATTGGGACTTAGAAAATTTAGAAAATGATACTCCAAAATGTGGCACTTTGACATGCTGGACTAAAGAAGCCTCAAGGTTTCTGACCTTCCCCTGCTTTCCTGTTCTCTTATCCACTTTTCGGAAGCAAACAGGACAGACTCTCTATGGAATTTCTTTATCTAAGAAAACTTATTTCCAGAAGACATATAATTGTCTTAAGAACTTCTCCGTAGGTTGGGAGTCTTCGCCATGTCCAGACATACTTATTATTTATTCTGAAGGCAGCTTTAAGAGATTATCTGGAATACTTTATTTACATAATAAGACTAACATTGTTCACACTGAAGTTTCACATCTCACCTTCCTGCCACTTCCCCTCATAGCTCAGAAGAACTTTGTTCCAGAACATTGTACTTTTGGCTTATTCATCTCCTTTGAAAATAATTTTCTTCTATCCTTCATCTCTCCTCCCGCTATTAAGAAGTGTATATAAGCATCTGGACCTATTCAGTTATTGAGTAATCATTCTCCTGTTATTCCTCCATGCTATACACATTAAATAAATATTGCACATGCTTTTTAGCCTATTCATCTGTCCAGTTTTAGTTCATTTTCAGTGAATCTTTAGAGAGTAGAGGAAAAGCTTTACCTTGGCCCTTAAGCATTAGTTCTGCCCTAATTCTCCCATTGTTGTGAGTCTATGAACAAGTTGTGTTATCTTTCTAATTCTTTCTTATGTAATAAAGAGACAAAAATAGTATAAACTATCTGATACACTGAAGATTAACATTACTTATTGCATATTTTCTTTTTTCATTTGCTTAATGATAAAATTACTATAAAATTATCATCATTTAGAATGGAAAATAATAAAGGCAATGTTCCCAGTAATAAAAAAAATTAAAAACAATAACTTTATTCACTGAGTTCTATATTTGTCAAAAATGTAACTGTGATTCTCACATCTGTTTATCGTGCATAATATTTTATCAGTTCTTTTTAATTAATATGTTGATGAATTAACAATCAAAATCATTTTTGTAGTTTGATTACATTCCTACAAGTAGAAAGTGGTAGTGTCAGTATTTAAACACAGATTAGAATGTTTTGACAGACATATTTTTGATGTTACATAACTCCTGCCCATAACATAGTATAATTGCTTAAATAAAAACTATTCGAGTAATTTCAGCATTATAAACTTTCCATAGTTTTATCCATGTCTTAAATAAAATATATCTATATTATACAAACATTTTGTCAAAGTAGGTACATTTCTTGGTTTCTTATCGATTGAAGACACCATATTTATTTGGATCAATTTAATAATTGTGCTCATTTCAGTCATAAAATAAATTACATTGATAGTCCATCCTTTACTATCTGGAAATTGATATTTCCAAATGTTAGTAGTAGTATTATTGAATATTATTTCAATTTTTTTAATTGCCATACTTTTTAACCTCTGATAAATATTTTACTTCAACATTTTAAGTAGTAAAGGTCATATAAAATAACTCATTAAGACATTCTACAAATATTGATAGTTTATTAAGTTTTAACTATTCTACTAATCATTATGCATGGAATGGAACAGCAATCAGTTATGTTCTCCTTATGTAGCCTGCAGCTACTGGAAGAGAATAACCATAAATAAAGAAACAAATGGAAGTATGGTTTCAAAGTGGGAAGATTGTTAAGAAACCGAAGAAATAAAATATTTTGACAAGTATTTTTTTCTTAACCAAATGGTAGCCAGGCTTTTTAATCTTCTGCTAGGCCCATCTGTGCAGTTCCTTGCAAATTCCAGTTTTAGCAAAGAACCCTGCTAAGTCAGTTTAGCAAGCACTTCTCCTCTCCCACTCCTTGATAGCAGATCAGATCTCTCATTCTTCACTATCCTCTCAATGCTGTCTGATCACCTTGGCCTGTCTTCAGCAAGCGTCATGTTTGAGCAGTTTAGCCAGAATCTTTCTTACCCCTGATGTTTTCTGTTAGTAATTTTCTATCTACTGATATGTACACTGTTTCATGGGTATATATTTCCACTTCTCCATGTTGTATTTAGAATTGAGTCCAATATCTCTTCCCACACTACAAGTGGTCCCTAAAACAAATATAATGGTTTGGATTATAGTCTTTTTTTATTGTGCTTTAACAAGTATCATTTAATCATTCTTTAACAGTTATAGTGTGATGACAGATAGGACCAGATTTATCATTAGATTCCTAGGTCTCTCACCCAGGACCCTAAGTACACTCCTTTGAAGCTTTTGTCTTCATTTCTGGCTGAGTGAGAATCAATTGGAGAGTCAGACTCCTGAAACGTTGCCCCAGACAAACATCAGCTACAGCTGGTAAAAACAAATTTTGATTCTTAAGATATGAGGATACTCTCCAAAGCTGGATTAAAATCCCAGGCTTTTTTGAAACATACCCCGTGGGATGTAAGGTCTTTTCTTGGCTCCTTGTTCTGAGTGGGAACCATTCCCTGAATTGCTGGGCTGTAATTATCTTTTTTTTTTTTTTTTTTTTTTTTTTTTTTTTTTTGGCTCTCTATTTTTGAGTAGAGATTATTCCCTGACTCCCTGGGCTAAAAGTCCTTCTTTCTGGCTCTCCACGAGACTTCTTTATTCTGTTGGGCCCTGTCTGTCCCATGGGAAATTCTCTGTCACCTAAAACCCTTCTTCTTTTTTTTTTTTTTTTTTTGAGACGGAGTCTGGCTCTTTCGCCCAGGCCCGAGTGCAGTGGTGCAATCTCGGCTGACTGCAAGCTCCGCCCCCTGGGTTCACACCATTCTCCTGCCTCAGCCTCCCGAGTAGCTGGGACTACAGGCGCCCGCCACCACGCCTGGCTAATTTTTTGTAATTTTTTTAGTAGAGACAGGGTTTCACCGTGTTAACCAGGACGGTCTCGATCTCCTGACCTCATGATCCACCCGCCTCAGCCTCCCAAAGTACTGGGATTACAGAAAACCCTTCTTCTTAAACACCTGCTGATTATATGCTCTGCAAACTCGATTTACCCCTGTGAGACAATTTTCCCTCCCACTCCAACCCATCAAACACTGGAACTTTGAGTCCTGTAGCCTCCATTGAGAGTTGTCAAGGGATGCGTAGTCTCCTCAAAGGCAAGCGTCTGTGGCTGAAAAGAGACAAGAGCAGGACACTATTTGGAAAGTGGGCAAATGAAAAATCTTAGTCGCCTTCTTCACAAATATCATTAAAAAGCTTTAGCTTTTATTGAGTAGGTAAACTCAACTTATCTTATTTTCATCAAAAACAGAATTTATCTTCACATGGAGTAAAGATTAAACAGAATTTATCTTCATATAGAGTGAAGATAAACAGAATTTATTTTCACATAAAGATAAATCAGTGAGTCTTTTACTGCTTCATTACTACAAATTTTAAAGATTTATTTTTTTTAAGTATCTGGTTTCATTTGTTTGTGTCTTTATGTATTTGTATATGTATCTCTCTGTATTTATGTGTTGTTTATATAAAATATTTTTCTACCCCCAGTGATATTACCAAGCTAAAATACCCAAATTGGTTGAGGGATAAATGAGCACTAAAACAAATTAAGCATGCATAAAATGCTCAGAAAAAAAAGAAAACTGACCCAAATTTTTTTTTAAGTTAACATAATCTGGGATAAATAAAAACTAGGCATAAAATTGTGTGTAAAATAAAAATATGGAAGTTTTCAGAATTGTGAGCATTAAATATAATATAGACATGCATTTTTGCCTGGGTTTGCTAGTCAGAAAACTTTGTGTTTTCTATGCTAGGTGTTTACGCTTGCAAAATTATAAGTCCAATCTGAGAGCAGAATGTAGAATGCAGACTGAAATAAATTGTTGATTGCTTGCTGAACATAAGTTGAAAAAAAGAGAGAGATAAAAGGGGTTGTAAAAATCTTAACTTGTGTTGGCAAAGCTGACTGAGATTGGATAAATTTATGTATACAATTTTATTAAAATTGGTTTTAATAGTCAGTAAAAGTAAAATTTAGCCTTTTCTGTCAAAACAACAGTATTTAGAAAATATTTATCTGTTCTTAACAGAAAATTGTGGAAGATTTTTCTTTACCTCTTAGGCATCTGGCCTATAAAATAAAGGCTTTGCATTTTATCAGGATAGATTCTTGTACCTCATTTTGTCTTTTATTAGGTCTTTGATTACTTAAGCAACATGATTCTTCTCAATATTAATTTTGTTTACAACTATGTAACTTTCTGTATATTTCTTTAAAATCTTTTCTTGTCACTTAGAACAAATAGATAACTAAAATCATACTTATTTAAGTGTTTCAAACCATTTGGCACTTTTGACAAACTTCTCAAAGTAAAGTTTTAAGCCTTTTCACTTTGAATTAACTTTGGGATTTTCTAGTTGGTCACCTTCAAAACTCAAAGAACATGTCTCGAACCTTGTAGAAGAGAGATATTCAACTAACTATGCTTATTTATATGTTAAATTATATGAGAAGCATTGTCAAATAAATGATGCTTAATTTTTTTAAAAAAATTTAAAAATTGTATTTGTGGATATATTATTGATATCATTGTTCCAAATATACTATGAGATCTCTAGAAATCTAACATGTTCTCAGTTAGTTATAATTTTGTTTATTATGTTAAAAT
The DNA here is from genome assembly GCF_000001405.40 of Homo sapiens. Classification (NCBI taxonomy): domain Eukaryota; kingdom Metazoa; phylum Chordata; class Mammalia; order Primates; family Hominidae; genus Homo; species Homo sapiens. Next base: position 29,435 of record NW_025791779.1, read on the forward strand.
GTTGTATGCCACTAAAACAACCAAATGTCCTTGTCAGTTGTGTCATTATTACACATGTACTCTCAGAAGAATTTTACCCATAATAATTTCAAGTCTTTGTTTTCATAGACAGCTATTGTTTTACTTTAATTCTTCCCAAAAAGCATGCAATCAGCTACAGTCTAACAGTCCCTCTTCTTTCAGGACATTTATTAAAAATACTCTAACATGTGCTCTGGAATATAGGTTTCTGGTAACTTTGAGATCATGCCATTGCACTGGATAAGAATTTCCAAAACTCTAAAGAAGAAGCTTGAGGTTTAATAAAGCTGCTAACCAAGGTCAAGAATTAACAATATGACACTAAATGAACTAACAAGGATAATTTTTAATGATTCTTTGTTTGAAACATTGTTCATTCCTTAAATGTTTTGTTGTCCAGATTTAAGAAAACCTTTTTCTTTTAAGCTAATTGCTTTCAGCAACTCAGTAAAGCGTAGTTTGGGATCAATAAAGGAAATACTTTTTCTTCTTACATATTTACTCCAGAATTTGGCAACTATTTGTGTTCTTATTTTTATGTCAAGATAGTAATTTGCATAAGTTCAATAATAATATACTTTCTTCATAACAGGACATAATTGAAAAAACTGATACATTACTAAGACTTTCACTGGAATGTCACATTTTCAGATATGACCAAAGAGCTTCAAGAAACTAAGATTTACTTTATGGCAATAAAGCCCCCTTTGGAAAACCAGCCTGAGTATTTCCAGCTTTTATAAAGAAAAAGAGGCTTAATAGACTCACAGTTCCACATGGCTGTGGTGGCCTCACAATCATAGTAGGTGAAAGGCACGTCTTACATGGTGGCAGACAAGAGAGACTAAGATTGCCCAGTGAAAGGGAAAACTCCTTATAGAACCATCAGATCTCATGAGACTTGTTCACTACCACAAGAACAGTATGGAGGAAAGCCCCCATGATTCAATTATCTCCCACTGGGTCTCTCCCACGACACGTGCGAATTATGGGAGCTACAATTCAAAATATTTGGGTGGGGACACAGCCCTAGCCATATCAAGAATGTCATTTCCTTGTAGGTCTAGGAACCTCAGGATATTTTGGGTACCTCACTAAGAAAGGAATTCACCAAAATATATAAGTGTTACAGATGCATCCTGATGGCAGGTCCTGGGCTTGTCTTTAGAGTGTCAAGAGGTGTTTACAACTCGAATCTGAAATTTTTTAATGAAAAGTTCTAGTGAAACAAACATAAAAAGAACCTATATTGTCAATCACTACTCTTGCTGCACTTATGTAAATAATCGGGCAAAGTTTAATAAAACAAATTATTTTGCAAATATCTTACTTTATCTTTGGTAGAAATGGAAGTGGCTATAGAGACAAAAATTATGTTTTAGAAGGAAACTACAGCACACTCAATAATAGATTTTAGTCATGTTTGTCTTCTTTGAGGTTTTATTATGTATCTATAATCTGGACTGCAGTCTCAATAATTCTAGTTTACTTCAATATCTGGCTATGACTTTTCATACAAACATTTTCAATTTTCTTCCATCCTTTTTGGTTGGAATCACTGCTCTTTTCCAGAAACTCTGGAAGAAAGCTAAAGCTGAACAACACGGTATAATACAAACTGCTTTTTTTCTGATGCCCTGCAAGCTGAAGCTGGATGACCTGATATAATACTCAGAGAAACCTCCACAACAGCTTATGCAAGAACAACCTTTATGACGTCCAAATTGCAAACACAGGAAATCTGTCAGATGGCCACTGCCTATCCTCATTTCAACTAAAGAAGCTTCAGGGTCGGCATCTAGAAATCTTTTCAACTGGCTGCCCTTTAGACTCAGAAACGGAGTCTACAGATTATTTCAAATATTAATATTTGCTTTTTTAAAAAAAAACTAAAAGTAATATAAATTAGTCGGTCGTGATTAAAGGTTTGATAGTTCACACCATCCAGGAGATATCCTGTACTACCAAGTCCCAACAGATGATTTAATTGAACCTTAATAAACAAGAAAATGGAGTTACGTTGTTCAAAGGAAGAAAGAATGTTTCTCTTTCCTTGAGCAAGAGAGAATGACAAAGATTCTCCACTTGGCCAAACTTCAGACAGGATTCTGAATCTTCTGCTAGGCCCATCTGTGCACTTATTTGTAAAATTTAGTTTTAACACAGAAACTTCCTAACTCAGTTTAGCAAGAAACTCCTTCATCCTCGATATCTGATCATCCTCAATATCTTATCAAAGTTTTATTTTCCACCATCCCCCAGGATGTCAGATTAGCTTGGCCTGTCTCCCAAAAGAATGATCATTATGGTCCTGTGTAAAGCATTTCTTACCACGCTTTAACAAGTACTATTGATTTTTTTTTCTTTTGGAATTTGAGAAAGCAAAACTAGTGGTGGAAGGTGAAAGAATATCTCTTTTGATTTGATGCTGAGAGAAGTTTTACTTAAGAAGTTGACATTTTATAAGAGACTAGAGGAATAAGAACAAGACAAATACGTCCAGACTGTAAGTAAAGACACCATTAACAAAGAAAACAACATATACACAAAGACTCTGGCAGAACAGGCCTTTGTGTTTTGAAATAACTTAAGACGAGTATGTATCGAGCTTACCTGGCCAGAAGAAGGAGATACAGATAGTAAAATTAGAGAGATTGTGATGGGGTCATATATACGGTTGGATGCATATCTAGATCTAATAAGTGAGGCCTAGACTAGACCAGAGATTGTTGCTACTTTTATATAATTTACATTTAATACATGGGACTTAAATAAAGTAGAGATAAAATACACAAAGAAGAAAAATGCTGCAATAGGGTTGTAATAAAAGGTACTCCTGTCTTTAAATATCAGATAAAACAGGAGAAAAATCAAAGGTGAGATGAGACAACTGAGAAAAATAAGAGGCAAAAATAGAAGCCTGTCATATGAAAAGAACCAAGAGAACCAAGAGCTTCAAGGAAGAAAGTTTGAAAGCTATACAAAATTCTACAGATATTTTAAAGAAGATACTAACGAAAAAAACTCTTCCAATAATAAAAGTCTAAGGTAATTATTTTTGGAAAGCACATTTTCACTTGGAAAAGGAAGGAAGTAATGATAAAACTGTTTGAAAAGGGAATGAGATCCCCCACTTCCCTTTGTACATCACTAATATCACCAGCTACCTCTATAGCCTAGGTCTTTCCTGTTTAAGTATATGCACATGCTTGTTGTTGTATTACATTGAATTATTTTTCTAATTTTTCACTCTATTTTACTAGTATTTAATATCTACGTCTTTGGGATTACCTAGGTTTCAGTTTTAACCACGTGATTATATTGACCAATGGGATTTTGGTGGCTGTAAATGACACCAATTATTAGCTTATGCTTATAAAGTTGTGCTTAATATATTGGTTTAGAGGCCTTTTCTGAAAAGATAACATAGCAGTTGTATCACAAGCCACAGTTGGAGAACGAGAAACATGGAACAAAGTTAATTCAGCTGATCTGCAGACTGTAGCAGAACCTCCAAGAAGACCAGAAGATGCAAGGTCTGAGTCATTACCACTCCTGGAGTTCTGCAAACATATGCAAGAGAAATAAATGCTGTTTCTTCTATGTCTTCTTCCTAATCATCAGGCACTGGTTGGAAAGCACTCATTTCTGTCAAGTCATCTTCTGTTTATATATCTGGTGTGGTATCTACTAGCTCTTGAACTTTTCCAAAGTCCACACCTTGAAGGCCTTCACTACTCACCTTTTTTTGCCATATTTACAGTCCTTCATAATTTCCTTGATTAGCTCTTTTGTAAATTCTGTGAAGTCCTGCACAATATCTGCACACAGTTTCCTCCAGCAAGAATTTATTATTTCTGGCTTGCTGGCTTTCAAGACTTTTTCTGTAATAACTACAGCATCTTCAATGATGTAATTGCTCCAGACTTTCATGATGTTCTATCTAGGTTCTCTTTCATAGCCATGCAATCCTTTCCATAGAGTACTCAGTGTAATGAACCTTAAAGGTCCTTGTGACCCCATGATATAGAAACTGAACTAAAGACATTGTATTTGGGGACAAATAGACCCCTTTGACAGCTTTGTTGTTGAACTCATGGGGTTCTGAGTGGCCAGGGCATTGTCCAATTAAACAATAAAAGAAACTTTAAAAGGCAGTTCCTTACTGACAAGTTACTTCCCGAAATCAGGAACAAAGCATCAATGCAACCAATCCAGAAAAAAGATTCTCCTTGTCCAGGCCTTCTTGTACAACCAAAAAACTAGTAGCTGTTTTTTCTCTTTTCTCTACAATGCTCAGCGTTAGCAGCTTTATACATAAGGACAGTCCTGATCATAACACCAAATGCATTTGCACAAAAGAGTGGAGTTAGCCTATTTCTTCTTGCCTTAAATCCTGAGGCTCACTTCTCTTTTGTACTAATAAATGTCCTTTGTGATAGTCTATTTTTTTTTTTTTCAGAACAGGACACTTTTTTCTGCATTAAAAACTTGTTCAAGTAGATATCCTTTCTCTCAATGATTTTCTTAGTTGCCTCTAGGAGCTCGTCTGCTGCCTCTTGGTCAGCAGAAGCCACTTCTCTTGTTATTTTGATATTTCAAGAGCCAAACCTCATTCTAAAATTATCAAACCATCCTTTCATTGGCATTAAATTCTCTAGTTTTAAATTCTCCACGTTCCTTTGCTTTGCATTTTCATATAATGACTTTGCATTTTCTTAAATTATATGAGTCTATCAGTATGCCTTTCTTATAGCAATCCTATTCCCAAATAAAAGCTGCTTTTTAAATACAAGATAAAAAGGTATTTCACAAAATGTTCAAGATTTTCATGCTGCTGGTATAGTTATAATGATAGCTTCATGGATTTTTTCCCTTTTTATTTATTTTCATTTTATTATCTTTTTACAATGTGCCTTCCATTGGATTCATTTATCTTGAAATGATAGGTAATCATAGCTGCAGACCTTAATCAATGGTACCTATCAAGCAATTCAGCTTCTTCTTGTAATGTCATAGCATTCCTCTGCTTCTTGGGAACACTCTGAGCATCATTAGCAGCACTTCCTATGGGTTCCATGGTGTGATTCAAGGTTTACGATGTTGCACTAAACACAATGAAAAATATGCAATAACAGCACTAGATCACTCTTTACTGTGATACACAATTTACTGGAGGAAGAAACGGTTCATAAGGGAGATGAATAGCATCACATGGCATTTTAAGCAGATATTCACAACATTTAAGCCCACTGTAATAACAATAGGAGGTGGTTAAAAATTATTATAGTAGTGCAGTATGCACTGTGGTTAATTTTATGCAGTTATCATTTAATACATCATCTTTATATTTGTTTACATTTCTCATGAAGGCAAATGGTGCCATGTATGGTCCTTAAGTGTTTGTGTGCAAAAGTTTTGTTCAATTTAAAATTTTTCTGATGGATTTGTTTAAATTTTTTGGTATTAAATAATAAAATAGACGAATCTACATGTATTTTATGTATTCATCACATACCTAACTTTTACTTAATTTAAAAAGTATTTCTAAGCTATACATTTCATCTTCGAGTTTTTTTCAAATTGGTGCAAATCCCCCAAAATGTTTTCAACATATTTTTTTAATGTTCATGTAAGTGGCCTCATTCAGTTAAAACCATTTTGTTCAAGGGTCAGCATATATATTGCTCAAGGGTCATGTTGTTCAAGGGTCAATATATATATGAAGAGAGAGAGAAAGGAAGAGAAGGGAGAAGGAGAATGATTCGTGGATAGGAAAAGAAATGTAAAAAATGCAGAGGCTCTGGGGTATTAGACACATTCTACTTGTTGACACAGGGTCATTTGATTTATGCAATTTCTTATTCTGGGTTTTATTTTTGTAAGCATTTTTCTTTAAATGCATTATATTTCAATGTAATATTACTTAAAAAGTGAAAGAAAGTAAAAGGAGTTATTTTTATTCAAATAATTGCTGAGTTGTTGAAGTCTTGAGAAATCAAGCAATAAATGCCTGGTTTCAGAGACGGTATCGTTTCTGATTCAGCCTGTGACCACACATTGGGAAATAAGAAAGGAGTGGAATTGTTAAGCAAGAATAACAAAATTAAGAATGAAAAGGATGACTAAAGCTGATACAGTACCCTTTACTAAATGAGAGATGGACTGTAATAAGAATTTGATTAGATTATAATTTTAAAAAGTAACTTGAAAATGGGAAAACCAACCATGAGCTGATGGCAATAGTAAAAAGGCAATATATACAACCAAAGGTAGAATGAGTACTGTGGTTTTCACATTAATATAAGAAGACATTGATTCCATGACCTAAAAATTATGTGTCAGTGATTGACCATAAGCAATAAAATCAGAATGACTATATAACTTATTGTCTAAACTTGGGGATTTTCATCCAGGAAAAGAAGCATGATGCCTCCTGGGGGTATGAAGCAAACATAGCAACAGTGTTATTCTACATACAATACAGCATTGACTAAATAGCTTCTAATGTTCAGGTAAAATATCATAGAAAAAAAGCCTCATACAATGTGATGGGCAAATTATGAAAAGAAGAGCTTTTAGTATGTATTCCGTGTGGGCTCTTATTAGCATTTTTATCACTTCAGGATGCTTTTGTTTTGATGACCATTTTATTCATGTTTTATAACACCTATTAAAACTTTCTAAAATTATTTATAGATTTATGCACTTTAAATCCTCTTCTACATTATTCGGTGCATAGGAATTATTTTGGGACCATGGTTATATTATAGTTTTTGAGTTTTTTACTTTAAATAAAAAGGAAAAGATAAACTTAGTTAATTTACTCACCTTTAATTTAACTGGTAGAAAGTTTGACACTAAAGAGCTGTCTGATATTGGTTGGTGCCATTTTACTATGCATGAATTTAGTAATTTTTTGACAAATTAAGTGAAACAGGGTGACAATTATGCAATCATTTTATACCTTATTGAATATCTTAGGATAAAATTGATTAGTTAAAACAAATCACAACAGATTCAATTTTAATACAGTCTTTCTCAATTTAGACTTTGGAAGAAATAGCACTGAAAGATGTTCTCATAAAATATTCAAAGCTAAGGAGCTTATCAAAATACACATTAATCTCTTTGCATTTCAATTTGGAAAATTTCTATTGACCTATCTTCAGGTTCACTGATTCTTTCCTCAGCAGTGTCACGTCTACTGATGAGCCCATCAAAGTCAGTGTTACTTTCTATTACAGTGTTTTTTATTTTGAACCTTTACTTCTATTCTTTATTTGATTTTTCATGTATGACTTTACTACCTATCTATTCTTGCATGTTGTCTGTTTTTAGACAGGACCATTAATGTATTAGCCATAGTTATTTCAAATTTCCTGCCTCATAATTTCAACATCAATGTTATATCTGAATCTGGTTCTGATAATTGTCCCTTCAGACAGTTTTTGCCTGCCCTTTGCTGTATCTTTTAATTATTTGTTGAAAACTGAACAGATTGTACTGAGTAACAGAAAATGAAGTAAATGTGGGAAGTTATGGCCATCTGTCTTACAGTTGAACTGTGCTTAATATTTGCTATAAATGTAGGTATTAGAGGTTAAAAATTCTTCTGGCTTCCCTGTTTTTGTCTTCTCTTTTGATTAATGAACTTCTTAATGTATTGTTTCTCAGATAGTATCTCTTGAAGCTCTTTCTGATGTAACCCTATTACATGCCATTAGAGTGGAGTCCTGCTTTAGTGACAAGATGTAGGGCAGGGGAACATTTCATAATCCTCTGATTACATTTTAGCTTTTTAGTGGCCTCTTTCTTGCACTTGTGAAATTCAAATTTTTCTACAGGGGTATAGCTTTTTATTTTCCCTGCCACCTAATCAGTTATCTGGTACAGTGGTTCTAAACAATTTCTTTGAACAGTTGACTCCTGTTGACATTTTTCCTCTTTAGGTAAGACAGGAAGGCTGAAGAACGGTGAAGTGGGAAGAATGCCTTTCTCCCAGCTGGGACAAGGCCCTGGAGAAGTCTTTGCTCCTAAAGTGTAAGGATTTGTTTTGGAAAAAGTTCTAGGCATATTTAAACATGTTTATTCTTTTGCTCCCCATGTCAAAAGTAGGGAAGTGAGTAGTTCTGGGATCTTTACTTCTTCACTGAGAGAACCTCGTGAGATTCCTAGAGAAAAAGCTTGGTGCACCCACAAGTTTCTTGCTTTCATAAAAATCTACACTACACCCAGCCTCTGGTAAATTATCAAAATTATTAGTGAATTGCCAAAAATTATCCCTTACGTATACTTATCTGCTTATGGCTTCGGTGGCTTATGTTTCTGGAAAACAGCACTTGGTGTAACTTTCTGCACCTATGTATCCAGATTTCAAGGTGGCATTTTCACCTTTGACTTAATTTCTCTGATGGATCAAAGAAAAGTCATTGATTTTAAGTTCGTCCCACTTTTTTTTAAGGAAAAGATTAATTACTTCTAAGTTTTTTCTTTTGGAGTTAAAACTGGAAGTTCCAGCTAATTTTTTCCTAATGCTTTATACTTTATATATCAAATGGTATACTTTAAGGAAATGTATGTCTTATTCTGACGGCTTTTTTAAATATACAGAAAAATTATCAGTTTGACACAAATTGGGAAAGACATAATGTTAATAAAATATTAAAATTTGACAAAAGCAGTATTTGAATAACACGTGTTTTAAAAATACTTTCAATATGCAAAGTAACAACTGAGTTCATTTCTAATTTGTAAAATTTACATCGAAATTTAATAGAATCAACTTACATTTAGATATTTATTTTTAATACCATTCTCTATGAAAAGAAACCAAGTCTCCTTAGAGAATTATTGGGTTCTAGAATTGGAGCAATAAATAAGCAAAATGAGCCCAGATTATCTTATAAAGCCAGAAAGTTAGTAAGTGCTGATGTGCAAACACGCACATGCAGACACACACACACACACACACCATGAAACAATAAAAATATGTGAAGAGATAAAGAACTCAAATCCCATTTGAAAAAACTTTCAATGACCATAGATGAAACAGTTTGAGCAACAGTATAAAGTAATATTGAATTATAACCCAACTAACAAAATAAACATACATGAATCCCAACTGAGAAAAACAAATTAGTGAATAAATGAGTAAGTAAATAAATGGAAAGTTGGCTAATTTTCTGTACAAAAGAATTCCAAATAACTATTGTGGATATTTTGCCTTCAAAAAGATAAAGCATGACTCCCATTCCTTGAGCGTGAGCTGCTCATAGAGACTTACTTCCAAAGCACAGAATATGGAAACTGGAGAAATGAGTACACTTACAGTGAAGAAACATGACAAACACTATGTACCCCAGATGGGCAAGGTTAGTAGCAACATTAATGAGTCAGGTCCATAGCATGTGCCCTTGATATGGTATAATGAGAGTGGCACTTCACCTTTCTTATTCTTCCTCCGCAAAACACGTAACCTCACTCTAATAATGAGAAAAATATCAAGCAAACCACAATCAAGGAACATTAAACACAATACTTGATCAATAAGTGATATAGACTTCTGCCCCCTTTTCAATTTCATATGTTGAAGCCCTAACCCCCAATACGACTGTATTTAGAGAAAGGAACTTTGGGAGCTAATTAAGGATGAATGACGTTATAAGGGCAAGGCTTTAATCTGATAAGACTGTGAGCTTCTAAGCAGATGAAGAGAGAGGGGCTCTCTCTGTCTCTTCACTATACGAAAAAACAGTACCTGTATACAAGCAAAAAGTAGAGCTTTTGCCAGAAACTGAATCAGCTGACACCTTGACCTTGTACTTTCCAGCCTCCAGAACTGGGAGAAAATAAATTTATTTTATTTAAGCTACCCAGTTTATGGTATAATATCAGGGCAGTCCTACCCAGCGGACTAATACAGTGCTGCTCAAAACTGTCAAAGTTACAAAAAACATGGAAAATCTGAGAAATTGACTTGATGTTCCACAGCCATGAGAAGTCTAAGGAGTCATGAAAATTAAATGTAATGTCATATCATTTATGGAATTCTAGAAGAGAAAAGGACATTAAATAGGAAATCTGAATGAAGAGTAGCCTTGAGTTAATAATATTATTAAGATTTATATAAATTATTAATTTATAAGTTAGTAATAAGATTTATTAATTGTGACAATTGTACCATGCATTGTATTAAGATGTTAATAATAAGAGAAATCAGGTGTGACTATATGGAAACTCTCTGACTATTGTCACAGCTATGCTTTAAGTCTAACTATTCTAAAATTCAATTTTATTTTAAAAATAAATGGAATATTTTCATTATAATTTGTGTATAAATAAGTGCTTATATAACGTCCGAAATCTGTTATTATTCATGTAATCATTTTATAAACAGTTAGTAAAGAAATCTCAGAAGAGATACTACAATGAGGTTAGAAATTGAAGGCAAATAAGAATCATTTCTGGAAATTTCACAGTACAATGAAAAAACTTCCCATATTTTACTGAAAAAGACATTTCTTATTCTACTTAATTCCCAGTTCAGCACTCTTTCTACCAAACTATAAAACATGTAAAATGCATTCTTTGACATTTCGTATTTTACAATCCACTTAGATAGAAAAAGTAAACATATCTATTTCAGTTGACTTATCTGCAAAATTGTAGGGTTGAGCAGATAAGCACAAATGGAATTTCTAGCTAGAAATACTGTAATGTTTTACATGATTAAAGAACAGCAAATAGAGTGATATAATATGAATTGTTTCATCTTTCACTTTTTCCAATTCCAGCATTTAGTACCTGTAGTGTATTCATAGCAAAAATAATTCTGTACATAGAGACTTCAAAGAAAGATTCTGATATCTCATGGATCTTTTTCATGAAAACTCTCATGATGTATAATAGGAGAAGCCTCTGTGGTTCAAGAATATTTATTTAGGAATTGGGGAAGTTTTGCATAGATAGCTTTGACTTAAAAGAAGGGGCTACATCCTCTATATGCATTTCATTTACAGACAAATGTAAAAGCACTTATTTTATTTATTTTTTTAACTTTAATTTTCATTTTAATGTGCAGGATGTGCAGGTTTGTTACATAGGTAAACATGTGCCATGGTGGTTTGCTGCACCTATAAACTCATCACCGAATTATTAAGCCCAGCATACATTAGCTATATTTCCTAATGCTCTCCCTCCCCCTGCCAGCCCCTAACAGGCCCCAGTGTGTGTTGTTCCCCTCCCTGTGTCCATGTGTTTTCTTTGTTCAGCTCCCACTTTTAAGTGAGAACATAAAAAGCACTAATTTTAAGTGTTATCTCTTCAATATATTTAACATCTAATCATAATTTGTTACAAATATTGCCTGCCTTGCATAAACCTTCATCATAAGATGGTTTAGCTTTATTTAGCTGAATTCTTTAAAAATTGTTTTTAAATTTCCTGGCTCATTTCAATTATAGGTAGGAGCAGATGTCATAGTAAGAGACAGGACTAGCTGGATTTCCTAGGCTGACTAAGAATTCCTAAGCCTAGCTGGGGAAGGTGACCGCACCCACCTTTAAACACGGGGCTTGTAACTAAGCACACACCAGGCCAATCAGGTAGTAAAGAGGGCTCACTAAAATACAAATTAGGCTAAAAACAGGGGGTAAAGAAATAATCAAATCATGTATCGCCTGAGAGCACAGGGGGAGGGACAATGATCGGGATATAAACCCAGGCATTCGAGCCCAATCGGGGTACCCCTTTGGGCCCCCTCCTATTTTATGGGAGCTCTGTTTTCACTCTATTAAATGTTGCAGCTGTACGCTCTTCCCCTCCGTGTTTGTTCTGGCTGGAGCTGAGCTTTTGCTCACCGTCCACCACTGCTGATCGCCGTCGTCGCAGACCCATCACTGACTTCCACCCCTCCGGATCCAGCAGGGTGTCCCCTGAGCTTCTGATCCAGGGAGGCGCCCATTGCTGCTCCGGATAGGGCTAGGGGATCGCCATTGTTCCTGCGCAGCTAAGTGCCCAGGTTAGTCCTAATTGAGCCGAACACTAGACGCTGGGTTCCACAGTTCTCTTCAGTGACCCACGGCTTCTAATAGAGCTATAACACTCACCGCACGGCCCAAGGTTCCATTCCTTGGAATCCCTGAGGCCAAGAACCCCAGGTCAGAGAGCAAGAGGCTTGCCACCATCTTGGGAGCTCTGGGAGCAGAGACCCGCAGGTAACAATACAACCTACCAAAAAGCCCTGCCACCATAGGTCAGTTTCATTTTCTTTTTTTGCATAGTAAATAATTCAATATTTAGAAACGAAATTTCTAAGCACAGTTACTTTAGTTAAATATTCTAATGATCTCCTAGCATTTATGTCTTTGCAAGCAACTCACATTTGATAGTTAGTAACCTCTGGATTAAGATATAAACATCTTAACAGCAAGCTACTGACAGCAACAATTTCAGAAGAATTGATGGCTCCCTCCTTTGACCAAAAAGAAGCAGGAATAAGGTTTTGTAGCTAAGTCCACAAGGCACTGACCCTGGCAATTTTTTCCCAGGCTCAGGGAGGTAAAAATGCTATGTGTTTCATTTTTAAAACAATTCTTCTTGAATTGGAGTGTTGGCTTCATGGTAAATGATGTGGCAAGATCAAAATCACTTCTAAGTGCACAAACAGGAAAGTGACTTTTTAATTTGAATAGTCATCTGTATCCAGAAACATTGCTTAATCAAACACTAACATTCCTCTCCTATAGTATCATATATATGTATACAGAGAAAGAGGGAGGGGAAGAGACAGAAAGAGAGTAAAAGCGCCTAAGGAGACATAAGGGTTGCTCGCTTGCTCTCTCTCTCTCTCCACACACACACACACACACACACACACACATTCATACACACTCATTTTGCAGCCTTTGATGATTAGTAAGGGGAAGAGAAAGAAAAACTACCAGTGAAGAAAGGACTTTTCTTTCCCCAGTTACAGATCTGTCTATCAGAAAAAGAGAACAGATCTGTTCACATTGATAACCTCCCTGTCACTCCTTCTATCTTTTCATGTCAATGTGGATTCTTATGGGCCGATTAGTGTCCCTCAGAAACATATGTTGAAGTCCTCACCATCTCAGATTGTTACCTTATTAGGAAATCGGGATTTTTGCAGTTAATAAAGTTAAGAAGAGGTAATTAGAGATTGGTTCTAATCTAATATGACCGTGTGAAGAAGGTTCACTAATAATTGGTCCCAAAGGAGAACTCACAGCTTGGGGGATGGCAAAGATTATCATTAAGGCAACCACTGAGAATAGGAGTCCAAACACCTCCACCACATTCTGGCTGCACTTTTATCAATTGCCTGAGTCTGGTGAGACAGAACACACTCACACACAACAAGTTAAACGAAGCACATTTATTTCTTACAGAGACAGCAGGGGACAAAGGAAGCCTAGAATCCACTGTAAGTCATTCCTTTAGGCTCAAGAAAGAAGCCCCCCAAGGAAGCAGAGGGATTCTCCATTGCACCATAGCTGAGGAACCCTGAAAGTAGCCCACCCCAGATTACATACCTCAGGGTCCACGGAAGTCACTGGGCATTGCTCGGAAGAACATCTTCCTTCCAGAGGAGAGAGAATCAAAACGTAGCCTCCCCCAGGCAGTTCCTCCTTATCTCAGGATATTGTACTCCCAGTGCATTCTACAATTATTCTGAGAATTACAGGCAGGAATTAAACAGGGGAGAAACTGGTCAGCCAAGGCCATCCAGGGACCATCCAGCGACAGGCATCCTTCTAAGAAGATAAAGACTCCTTGTAATGACAGAGGCACATAGGAGAGATGCCATGTGACAACAGAGGCTTAGATTGAAATGTTGCAGCTGCAAGCCAAAAGATGCAGAGGTTACTGGCAAACCACTCTAAACTAGGCAGTGGCAAGGAAGGAATTGTCCTCTACAAATTTCAGAAGGAATAAGGCCCTGCCAATATCTTGACTGATTTTGGACTATTGATATCTATAACTGTGAAACAATATATTTCTCTTCTTATACCTACTCCTCTCCTCCACATTTGTACTGTTTAGCTATGGTAGCCCTAGGAAACTAATACACTCATTGATGGAGACTTGTTTAATATTGGATAGGATTACAGATCCCAAAACATTAGGAACAGCATTTGCTGTCCCCTGCAGTTTCATCCCACCATGTATTTAGCTAAAGAGACAGAAACCGGGCCGGGCGCGGTGGCTCACGCCTGTAATCCCAGCACTTTGGGAGGCCGAGGCGGGCGGATCACGAGGTCAGGAGATCGAGACCATCCCGGCTAAAACAGTGAAACCCCGTCTCTACTAAAAATACAAAAAATTAGCCGGGCGTAGTGGCGGGCGCCTGTAGTCCCAGCTACTTGGGAGGCTGAGGCAGGAGAATGGCGTGAACCCGGGAGGCGGAGCTTGCAGTGAGCCGAGATCCCGCCACTGCACTCCAGCCTGGGCGACAGAGCGAGACTCCGTCTCAAAAAAAAAAAAAAAAAAAAAAAGAGACAGAAACCGCTTCTTGAAACTGAGACTATGAGCTCTTTTAAGTTGGAGTTCTTTTTTCCTAATTAATTTTTAAGAGAGACGTCAAGCTTTGAGAGCAGTGTGTGTGTGTCTATAAGGATCTTTGCCTGCCGGTGGGTTTGCTAGTGACTTCCTATCATTGATAAAATACTACTTACTTTCATACATGGAGTGTAAATGAAAAAGATTAATTAAATGTAAACCAATCCACAGTGATCCAAATTACTAAGTGATTGAATTACCAGGTAGTGGATTAATATATGGTGACATATAGTATTAGTTATTTCCAAGCAATTTTGTGGTTTTATACATTATAGCAAACTTAAAATTTTGTAAGTGTTTCTCTTCTAGTCTGCACTCATTCATTTAGTGTTTTTTGTTGTTGTTGTTGCTTGTGTTACACTCTAACATTCTGTTGTAGAGTGCCACTGTTACTCATTTTTCAGTCATTATCAGTTAGTATGGGGTTCAGCAATATTAGATTTCCAAATTTTTTAGTAAAAGCATCAATCAAGGAATGAATGAATACATAGAAAATAAGCACATTGCGTTTGTGTGTATTAGGCTTGGTTATCATCATCACATAAAAAAATGTAGTAAGTCAGGTGCGGTGGCTCACGCTTGTAATCCCAGCACTTTGGGAGGCTGAGGCGGGCAGATCACAAGGTCAGGAGTTCAAGACCAGCCTAGCCAATATGGTGAAACCCTGTCTGTACTAAAAATACAAAAATTCGCCAGGCGTGGTGGTGGGTGCCTGTAGTGCCAGCTACTCGGGAGGCTGAGGCAGGAGAATCGATTGAACCTGGGAGGTGGAGCTTGCAGTGAGCCAAGATCACGCCACTGCACTACAGCCTGGGCAACAGAGTAAGACTGTCTCAAAAAAAAAAAAAAAAAAAAAAAGTAGTAGTGTTTGCTTGTTGACAAGATACTGACCAAAGGTTGGGCTTGTATAGATAGAGCTGGGTTTTGGTTGACATTTAAAAGCATGTATCAAACATTGGCAGAAAATTAATTTACTTCTAATTTCCATAATTATTTTATTAATTATCCTCCATGTACTAATCATAGCTATTTTATCTATATTTGACACCCTTGTCTAAGACTTTATTGATCAAAGTAGCTGTGAATTCCAGCTGTAGACTTTACATAGAAATGCCTGGTAGGTGCACAGAATCTAGCTTTGTCATGATGTATCAACATGATGGACCCAGAAGACAAAATAAATGCTGCTTACATACAAATCCAAGAGTCCTTTTTCCTCTACCCCAGGGGCAGGTAGCTATAACCACTACCCCCACCATCACACAGCCCCGGATTTTCATGTTCCATCTTTGGAAGGAAGTAAAGAGGGGAGAGAATATTTGCTGAACACATTTATTTAAAAGAAAATAAACTACCAGAAACAGGTTGCCTAAACCAGACAAAGCTTGTCAATTTTAAGGCTTCTTTACTCCATGCTATCCAGCAAGGTTAGGATTCATGAGAAAAAAAAAATAGTGAAAAAAAAAAAGTAAACCTGATTTTCCATTGCACAATTGTATAACAAGCTGTCAAGTTTTCCACCTGGGGTTCAAACTGAAGCTTCTTTACAGGGTTAACTGCACACATCATCTTCTCTCCCTTAACTATCATCCACTCTTCAGTACTCCACACTGACTGTACCACTCAAACTTTTCTTTATTACTGCCACCAGTGACTTGCATTTGCCAAATCTAGTAGACACTTACTAGTCTTCCTTTATCCCGATTTCACTGTAGCATTTGTCCAAGATTATTCTTTTTGAAAATACTTTTCTCTTGACTTCTCTGACGCTATGTTTTCATATTTTGTTTCTTTTACTTCTCAGGCCATTCCTTCTCATTCTCTTTGTTTCTAATTCTTCCACTTCATCTTGCTTAAGTATCACCACCTCAGACCTTGACTTCTTTCTTTCCTCACCCTCTCTCTAGGTGATTTCATTCATTCCCAGGCCTTCATGGGTCTCTCCAAGCCATGACTCTCTGTTTTTAGGCTATGTTTCTTTCCTGCTCTCCAGATACATAATTCAAACTGATTACTTAATCTTTCCATTCAGCTAGTTCACAGAAAGTAGCATGTCAGTATTTAAACACAACATAATATGCCCAAATATAACATATCCAAACTGAAAATCTTAATCTAGCCCTATTCACAATTCAATTATTCCTATTAGGTTTTCTACATTAATAGATTGTCCTTCCTTCAGTCACTCAAGCTGAAGACATTGAAACATTGTTCAACAGCTGCTTCTGCTTAAACCACTAGATCCAATCCATCATGAAGTCTTGTAAATTATAGCTCAAAGCCGTCTATTTCCCTTCAGCCCTGTGACAATCAAATGAATCCAAGCCAACATCTGCCACAGGGGTTACTGTAAGAATTCCCAAATTGGTATTTTCACATCTACTGTTTACTCTGGAGAAGAATAAAACACAAACTTTCCCATACAGCAGCCAGATTGACATATTTAAAAAAAATCTAAATTGGTTTATTGCTCTCTTTTATGATTAGAGTAAAATCTAAACTCTGTAAATTCTTTATTACTACTCACAAGATGCCTAAGGTCTAGTACAATTCAATTTCTTATATTTCTTATCTATGATCTTGCCACACTGTCCTTTTTTTATTCCTTTATCTAATTTTGACCCCCCCGCAAAGCACTCTTTTCACCTGAAATAATAAACCCTGCTTATCAATCACGTTTACCTATTTTAAATATTAAAAAACACAAAATATACATACAAATAAAAGTGAATAATTGACCACCACTCAACCTAAAAGAGAGCCATTGAAGCCTTTGAAAATGCTTCCCAATTTACACCACTGGCTATACTGTTTCCTGCAGAAAACAACTATCATGTTAGTAATCCTCTTGCATATCATTATATCCTTATCACAAATTTACAAGCCTCTAAAAAATGTCTTGCTTTCATTTGTCATTTTTATCAGGTTTTGTCTGCACTGATGAAGTCATACTTGCATACTCTCCTGTGGATTTTCTAAAAATTTCATAACAGGTTTATGCAATTTTCTTATATAGTATTGGAGTTAATTTGTTTTCCTGATGTATAAACTTGGTTAAACAAATAGCAAAATGTATTTATTCATTCTATTGTTGATCTGTAAAGGAGTTATTCCTAGCATTTTATTTGTAAATATTAATACTAAGACAATTTCTGTTCATGGACTGGTGGGCGTGCACACACATGGATTTCTCTTTGGCAAATACCTAGAAGAGAAATCCTGAGATCATAGAGTATATATATATTTAAAGCACGGAGAATTTACAATATTTGATCATTTATTATCCTAAAATATTTGAAGTAATTTTAAGTGTTTTTATTTATTTTATTTATTTATTTTTTACAGATGGAGTCTCACTCTGTCGCCCAGGCTGGAGTGCAGTGGTGCGATCTCAGCTCACTGCAACCTCCGCCTCCTGGGTTCAAGGGATCCTCCTGCCTCAGCCTCCTGAGTAGCTGGGACTACAAGCGCCTGCCACCATGCCAGGCTAATTTTTGTATTTTTAGTAGAGACGGGGTTTACTCATATTGGCCAGTCTGGTCTTGAACTCCTGACCTTGTGATCTGCCTGCCTCAGCCTCCCAAAGTTCTAGAATTACAGGCGTGATCCACCGCACCCAGATGATTTTAAGTCATTTTATACAGTTCAACTTTATACCTAGTTAACTTGAATGAACAAGTTAAAATCAATTTTAACATAAATATAATAACATATTCTAATTATTTTCTCCTATTCTTTGGCTTGTCTAGTCATGACACATTTTTAGGAAATGTTAATGTCCTCAAATATATCATTATTTACATTTTCATGTGTGTTTTAAAATACTTCTTTAGCACTAGGTCATAAAGTATTATTTTACAATTTAAAATTTTTAATGTTGACATCCCCATTTCGCTCTTTAATTTGTGTATGTGAGATGGAATGAATTTTTGAAATCCATTTTTATTTTTTGATACAAGATAACACATTTTTCCAACATTATTTATGGAATATTCTCTCTTTTTCACTGATCTCTCATATAGCAAGATATTATGTATATCAACTGCTGCTTCAAAATCTTTATTGTATCCACACAAAACTACTTCGATGAGTGATGTTTATAAGATGTCAAAATGTCTGCTAGATACAGTCTCCCAACCATATTTTTCTTTTTCATGCATACAATGTTTAATCTATATGAATAAATATAAAAAATATAATTCATTTGTATAAAATATATCTTAGATGTGGTATATATACATAATTACATAATATATATCATATATAATGTTATAAATGTATATAGAATATGATATATTATATATTATATTCTGCCATATATACACATATAATATATATTCTATACATACAAATTATATATTTTATATTTATTTATGTTATATATTATATAATTCTTTATATATAATGTTATATATAATTGCAATTGCTTCATATCTTAAGTTTTTGCTGTGAATATTATGTTAATCCTTGCTATTTTTTCTAAGTGATAGGACCATACCTTGAAAGTTGTTATAATTTTCTTATTGTCCTTGATAGTCTTGAATTTCACTAAAATGTTTTCCAGTGACAATTTTTCATATTTTTCTTATTTGGCATCTTATGTGCTTTTGTTTCAAGATAATTTATCTCTGTTATTTATTTAAATATTTCCATTTTATTTTTTTTAGATCTTTGAATTTTTTACCCCGTTATTAATTTTTCTACATCTATTCTACTTAATTTTAATTTGTTTTTAATTTATTGAAACCTTTTCTACAAAGAACTTACATTTGTTTTTCTAACCCATAATTTAGTATTCAGATACATTTGCTTCACTATTTTTGCCATCTTGTAAACAAATTTCAACTATACATAATTTTATATATAAACAAGCCCATTTGTAAAATGACTTATATATTTTGCTTTAAATTGATGATATATTTTCATTATTTTATCATCGATGCCTATAATGGAACACTTCTACATCTAGTGGTATCTGTAATCAAATTTTTCCTTTTGATCATTGTTGTTCCTGTTGTTTTGTTTAATATTTTGTTTGTTTTAAATTAGTTTGCCTCCTCAGATGTCTTGTTATTTGAGTATGCAACTACAAAGTGATACCAAAACCCTAGACATCAGAAGAAAACTCTGACTCATTTTCATTTGCTAAAAGGCTAGCAAATATTCCTTGAGACAGAACATTCTCTCCAGCTCCTCAGGTTAAATGGCTTGGTGGGTGAGCTCTGAACTACTCCTGGGGGTTGAAAAGAGAAAGTGCATGGGAGTGAATGCCCCAGGGTAGTTAATCACCGAACTGTTTACTCAACACTTGAACAGAGCAAGACTGCTGAGTTACTGGTCTGGAATAAAAGCTTTTGCTAGTGTTGCTGATTTATGCAATTTGGTGTGAGCATGTGTTTTTCCAGGGAGATGTATTCTTTTATTCTAATTTGTCAAAAAATTCTTCCTGGATACCTCTGCTCCAGATTAAATCAACATCTTTCAGAACCAACAAATTCCCAATGCTGTGTTGCCACAATTTTTGCTATTGTTGTTTAACAATAAATTCAAATTTGTAAATTCCCAATGCTGTGTTGGCCATTTAGGGCCAAGCCATGTGGCAAAACCTATGGGAAGAAGATGACCTCCTCTGACCAAATGTTATGTTTAATAGTTGATTTCATTTGAGAGGAACTGTAACCTTGTAAATTTACCATCTTGCAGAAATTTAAAAATCTCAGCTTTGTGTTACTGTTATGATGATCGTGTCAGTCTTGTACTTTAAGTTAGTATATTTCCATTTCTTGTGAAAAATAGAAATTATAATAAGGTCTGTAGAATGACCACTTTTTTTCTTTCATATGCCCCTCATTTTAGCTAGTGCTTAAGTGCTAGATAGTGGGCTATTTAATTAATTAATTATTGATTGAGGAAAAACAACCCTTGGGGTATTATCTATTCATATTTATATAAAATAAATGCTGCATTTAAATATTTTATTATGCATTTTCTCCAGTTACTGACTGGAGAACAATCTGTTCTTAAAAGCGAGACAATCTCTGATGAATGCTAGAGATCTGGTGTAGCAGGATGAACCACAGACAAAACCTCTCAGACACTGAGTTGTAGAAGGAAGGGCTTTATTCAGCTGGGAGCATCGGCAAGCTACTGCCTTAAAATCCGAGCTCCCCGAGTGCACAATTTCTGTCCCTTTTAAGGGCTCACAACACTAAAGATTTCACATGAAAGGGTCGTGATTGATTTGAGCAAGCAAAGGGTACATGACAGGGGCTCATGCACTGGTGGTCAGAGAGAAACAGAACAGGGCAGGGAGTTTCACAATGTTCTTCTATACAGTGTCTGGAATCTCTGAATAACATCAGTTTCTAGGTTAGGAGTTGATTTTTAACTACTGGGTGTAGGCCAGGCAGTCCCAGGCCTGGTTTTGGGCCTCGTGCGGGGCTGCCTGTCTTTGATTTCACTTCCTTGTTTTTTTCTTAAAACAGGTACTGAGTATAAAACAATATAAAACAATATGAGAGGGTCTCTCTCTTCCCTCATTGGCATACATTGTTATTAGCTTTTTGTATTTTTTAATAATGATTTTACAAATAGTTAAATGTAAACTATTGTATATGTTTATAGTCACTACTGGACAGTGAGCCTATTAAAGTCAGTGTTCTTCTCTATTAAACAAATGTGGAAATTAATATCTAATGTTTACTCAAACTTTTTCATGTTCCACCTACATTTATACTTGAGATGATACCAACTCTAGCTGCCTTCAAAGAAAGCATGTTCTGCCAGGGTAGAGAACTATGAAAACAAAGCCCATAAATAACAAATGTTGAGAACTGAAGATCACTTCAATGGAAACAAATTTAACTGCAGATAACAGAAAGGTCTGCCTAGGTAGAACATTTTTAGGAAGATTTAACTGAACCTAAATATTTAGCTAGTCAAACAGCACTATAGGGAGAAAAATCTACTTACATATTAAGAAGCACATTAGGCATAAATTGAAAATTAAATTAGAATCAAAAGCTAAACTGGAAAGATCCAAAATTATACATGATAGTTTCCAAAACTCTATTCTGTTTCAGCCTACAGCATGGTGTTATGTGATTACTTTTTTTTTTTTTAGTATTATTAGAACCAAATACTACATTAAGTAAATGATATAAAAGCAAATCTAGATTTAAAAAATAAATCACAAAAGGTCCTAATTAAAAATGTATTTCCTAGAGAACCACATTTTGGAAGAGGATTCTTTAGTGAAATAGAGTAGCATGCCAGATTTATTTCTATGCTTCAAAAATATAACCACCAAAAATCAAACTACTTATACTCAGTTTTAGGGCCTTAAGAAAAATAATTATTATAACTGCAAAATTACATATGGAGTTACTGTCAGGTCTCTGAGCCCAAGCTAAGCCATCATATCCCCTGTGACCTGCCCATATACATCCAGATGGCCTGAAGCAACTGAAGCATCACAAAAGAAGTGAAAACGGCCAGTTCCTGCCTTAACTGATGATGTTACCTTGTGAAATTCCTTCTCCTGGCTCAGAAGCTCCCCCACTGAGCACCTTGTGACTCCTGCCCCTGCCGGCCACAAAACAACCCGTTTGATTGTAATTTTCCACTGCCTACCCAAATCCTATAAAACGGCCCCAC
This sequence comes from Homo sapiens, assembly GCF_000001405.40. Taxonomy (NCBI): domain Eukaryota; kingdom Metazoa; phylum Chordata; class Mammalia; order Primates; family Hominidae; genus Homo; species Homo sapiens. The sequence goes on from NW_025791779.1 coordinate 51,698, forward strand.
CCTTATCTCCCTTCGCTGACTCTCTTTTTGGACTCAGCCCACCTGCACCCAGGTGATTGAAAAGCTTTATTGCTCACACAAAGCCTGTTTGGTGGTCTCTTCACATGGACGCGTATGACAGTTACAAAATAAAATACATATTTAAATAGAAATGTATGTCTAATAGCTAACAGTTCTCTGTTCTCTCTGATATCTGGCTTTTTTTTTTTTTTTGCCTTTTAAATAACTGGTTGGGGCAGGAGAGAGGTACAGATCAGAAAAGCACACTCTGACATCAGTCTCTGCCATCACTCCAGCTTTTCTCTCAATGAGAACTATCACAGACATTAGAAGACAAGCGTTATATTGCTTTGCTTGAAGGCTGAACAGAAGGTGAAGGACTGAAAACACTGCTCTTGCTTCTGGGAAGAAAATGTCCCACAAAACTCCTGCTTTTATGAAGCATAGCCTCTATTAAAGAGATACAAATAATTAAATCAGAAAATAAATATATAATAAGTCTGGAAGCCAAAGGGTTTAGGAAGAAGGATAATCAAGGGCAAGGGGAAAGAAAGTGATGAGGGAATGAAGTGCGATTTAAGATGGGGTGGTTAGAGAGAGCCTCTCTGCTACTGTTATGTTGGACAAAGGCAAAAAAATAAAATGACGGAACAATGCATAATGGCAGAAACAATTCCAGGCAGTGGGAGCAGCAAGAGAATACTCCAAAGCAGGGATGCTGTTGGTGCATTGAGGAATATTATTAAAGCCGGTATAACTGGAGCAAAAGAATGGAGCAAGAGAGCTATATGAGAAGAGTACAGTCAGGAGGAGTGTGTGCTTGTGGGTACAAGTAGAAGGTATCACATAGGGCCATGAGCCCTAAAAAACATCCAAAGGATCACCTGTGAGACAGGAAACAGAGGAGTGTGTTTGTATTATTTATAGTTTATAAAATAATAATTAGCATGACTGTCAGAAAGAGAATTGGCTATTGCTGGGATGAGGCAGCAGATAATAAATCCTGTTCCACCTCTGAGATGGAGAAGCTGGCATCTATCAAGACTCACTCCTCTCTCCATCAGCAGCTGCAAGTAAGTAGGTGGTTGGCATAAGGGCAAGGTGACCACACCCTGATCGAGTGGCTGTGGGCAGTCATATGGACTGTGTGGAATGATGCTGGTGAAATACCTGAAAGTCACAGTTGTATGCAGATTTGGTGCAAGTCATCCAGGAGATGGGTATGCAACAGGCTGTATTTGACCTGAATACCCGGAGCCAGCTGATGGACGTTTCACCTCCCATATGAAGGATCTCATGTTGGGCTCTGTGCGCCCGAGCACTTTTGTCTCTCCAGTTACTGTCCTCTCCCGTATGTAGGGCACCACATATGTAAAGTGACCACTGATATGGTGGCTCTCAGGGAAGCAGAAGGCTGTTGGCAGGACCAAGGGGTCTATGCCTTAAAGAAGGGGAAGATGCCTTGCCTGCAGGGCCACCCCACCATGGGTAAAAAGGGAGCCCCAACGAGTGACATGCTCACAGATGTGGATAGATTTGGTTTTGGCTGGGGTTGACTAAGAAAATCAATAAGCAGCCCAATGAAGTACTCTTCACTTTATGGAGACAGCTGTCTGTGGACCAGAAATTTCAGAAAATGCCCAGGGGGGAGAAAGACATTGCTGTGTGACCTGGTCCTGCCTGGATGCTTCAACTCAAAGACTACTTGCTGCAGCCAGGAGGAAATGTAGAGCCTTTTCTACTTGATTAGGGAAGTGGCTGAGGTGCCCGGGTTTGGGGGACACCAGATGACCGGAGGCAACATGTGGACTTAGCAATCCACTAGTCCCTGCACCCAAATAATTTTCTGGGCAAAGCTGCATACATAGACAGTTATGAAAGCTGGTCAATGAAAGTGAAACCTGTATTTTTGAACCTTGGCATAGGCTGTTTGGCTTCATGCTTCCATACTGTGTATGTCTCTTCCATACCTGAATACATTCTGGGAGTTGGATATTTTACATGGCTTGGCAGCTGTGCCATCTGTCACGGATTTGATGGACCATTTGACTACAGAATTGGGATGGTGCCGCTATGTGGTAGATTTGGCCAATGCATTCTTCTCAATCGACATTGCTCTAGAGAGCCAGGAATGGTTTGCCTTCATGGGAGGGCAACAATGGATTTTCACAGTGTTGCTGCGGGGCTGTGTGCATAGTTTCACCACGTGTTGTGGTCTTGCTAATGATATTATGCTAACTTCTGATTCTCTTGCCGATTTAGAAGTGGCAGTGCTCCTTTTGCCTAGAATTAAGATGATGCAGCTGAGACATCCTTCCTGACAGCCAAGCAGGCTATTCAGCAGGGCCAAGCCTTACAGGTAGTTGACCAGGGGCACCTGTTTGAGCTGGATGTGCACACGACCACAGATGGTTTTGGTTGGGGCCTGTGGCAGTGCATGAAGCACTCGAGAATGCCAGTTGGCTTTTTGTCCCAACTGTGGGAGTGAGAAGAGCTCTGGTATTCACCAATAGAGAAGCAGTTAGTAACTTCATATGCTGCCCTTTAGGCTCATAAGAGCATGGCAAGATGGGCTACAGTCATTATGAGGATGACTTACCCAATAGTGGGGTGGATACATCCATAGGTAATGAACCCCTGGATTCGGACAGCACAGACATCCACTTTAGCAAAGTGGGGCGATTACTGAGAACAGTGGAGTATGCTGAGTTCAAGTCCTTTAGCACCAGAGTTGCAAGAAGTTTGGGACCTGTAGTCCTAATGCAAGAGAAGGCCATTGGGCCTGAGGCATCCTTAGAGCCTGAGCCATCGCCATTTAAGAAAGGGTGTCCCTCCATTCCTGATGGGGCATGGTACACAGATGGGTCCAGCCAAGGTCCTACTGCTGCCTGAACCACTGTTGCAGTCCAACCTAGTACTGACACCATATGGTTTGAAACCAGGTGTGGACAAAGTAGCCAATTGGCTAAATTTAGAGCAGTATGGATGGTGATCACCAAGGAGGTTAACTTGGAAGTTACAGAATTGACTAGTTAGTCACTGGCCCATATAGGGCCAACCCATGTGGCAAAACCTATGGGAAGAAGGATGACCTCCTCCAACCAGCTATGGGAATGCACTGTAACCTGTTGCTTCCTGCCCCAATGTCCCTAAGGGCAGGGGAACAAAAAACCTGGCTTAATGTATAAAGTAACATTGGGGTAATGTAACCATGGGGTGGTTGCCCACATGTGTTGGACCTGTGTGTCAGGGGCCTGTGTGCCAAGCCTCTGTATCAGACCTGTGTGCCAAGACCTATAAGTCAAGCCTGTGTATCAGGCTGGTGTTCCCAGAGCTTATGTGTCAGGCTTATGTGTTAAGTCTGTGTGTCAGGCCTGTGTGTATGTATCAGGCCTGTGTGCCCAGAGCCTATTTGTTAGGCTTACGTTTCCAGCCTTTGTTGGACCTGTGTGCCCAAAAGCTATGTATAAGGCCTATATGTCAGACCTGTGTGTCCAAGGCCTATGTCTCCCTCAGCCTAGGAAGTGGAGTGTAAGGAAAATGGATGTACTGCCGTCCAGAATAGGCCAAGGCAGACATCTGGTCCAGCATGACTCAGGAAGTTTGGAGCACAGGTACACAATGCCACATATTAGGTAACCACACCACACGAGGTGCATTAAGTAACCACTCACGTGCACTCGTGCTTGGCTCAGAGTCACTATTGTCTGTAAAAGGTGTAATTACCCTGCTAATGCTGTACATACAGTTTGCATGTGTCCATGGATTGCTTGTGCCCATGGCTTGTTTGCACCCACAGCTTGCTGCCATTCATGGCTCCCTTGCACCCACAGAGAGAGTAAAAGCCATGTTGAAACTGTTTACGATTCCTAGAGTGTTTTTCCAGCTATCTGCCACTTGCCCAGAGACCCCCCTTGGACCTCAGTGACAACCTGACATAAGGAATTGGCTCATATAATTATGGAGGCTGACAGATCCCAAGATCTGCAGTCAGCAAGGTGGAGACCCAACTGAGCCAATGGCATAAGTTTCAGTCCGAAAGCCATTAGAACTGAGACCTAGAGGGAAGATTCAATGCTTCAGTTCACACCTGAGAGCAGGAAAAACATAATGTCTCAGCTGAAAGGCAGTCAGGCAGGAGGAGTTCCTTCTTACTCCCGGAAGGATCAGTTTTTTTGTTTTATTCAGACATTCAACTGAATTGATGAAGCCCATCGGTCCATTAAGGAGGCCAATATACTTCCCTCACTCTATAGATTCAAATGTTAACTTCACTCCGAAACACCCTTAAAGACACATCCAGAAAATTGAGTGTAGGACCAAATGGCACCTTGTAGCCCAGTCAAGTTGACAAACACAATTAACCATCATAATGAGTGTATCATAAAATGACTTATTTTCCTCCAAAAATTAATTTTTTGATTTGCAGCCAAGAGGTCAGTAGAAGAGATGTGATAACAATTAACAACAGGCAAGATCAATCTTGTAGTGATAAATTAGCTAACTATAAAAAATATGCTGATAACATGCATTTAGCATTACTCATTTCATTATAGAAAAAATAGTCATAAAGGTCCACATCTTTTCCTAGGGAACAAAAATATTAAGGAGTTTTTGGTAGCAAGGCTTTAAGATAGCCCCATGTGATTCTTACCTCCTGGTACTCATGACCTTGTGCAGTATCCCGCATTACATCTGGGACTGTCTGTGTGACCAGTGGAACACAACAGAAGTGATTGCATATCACTTCTGAGACCAGGTCATATAAGCTATTAGGTCTTCTCTCATTCAACAACTGTGAGTGAAAACAGAGGAGCTTTTAATAAATGGTTTGTAGTAACAGGGTGACATTTGAGGAGGCTGCTTAAGGGGAAACTGTGACTTAAAATACCAAGAAACAAATAGATTAAAGTTCCCCTTGGAAATCCAGACACCTGAAGAGATTTGAGAGAAAGTCCTAATTGTAGCTAGAATCAGATCGGTGAGTTTCATCTCTACCCAATCAATACAGTTCACAGCTATAACTAAATATTTCTTCTCTTACAGTGCTCTAGTTCCTACTTGGTATAAATATTTGTCTGTGAAGTGCAATGATTTAAATGTGTCCCCTAAATGTTATGTGTTGGAAATTTAATCCCCAAGGCAACAGTTTTGAGAGGTAACACGTTTGGGAGTTGATTAGCCCATGAGGCCACTGCCCACATGAAAAGATTAATCGTGTTATTGTGGGAGTTGAGTTCCTAATGAATGAATTTGGGCGCCTTCCTCTTTTGTTCTCATCTCACCTGCAAAAATTCTTGTGTTTCTGCCTTCCACCATGGAATGATATAGTAAGAAGCCCCTAGCCAGATATGGGCACCTCGATCTTGGACTTCTCAGCCTCCAGAACCGCACAAAATAACTTTCTGTTCTTTATAAATTAACCAATCTCAGCTATTCGGTTGTAGCAGCAAAAAACAGATTAAGACAAGGAGAAAGTTCTTTCTTCTCTTGCTGCTGATGCAATTCCAGCACTGCTCAGCTTAAGAGGCAAGAATGAGCCTGTCCTTCCTACCTGTTTTGTTTTCCAAAGTTGGGAATGTCCATCAACTGACTCCTTACCTTTACATTTTTGCCCTTTTTGGCAATTGTGATGGATATGAGTGTGGAGGACTAGCATGTGCAAGATTTTTCTTCTTGCCTGGATGCCTTAATGTATTTACCTTAAAATTTTGGAAGAAAATAAAGATTGAAACCAGATTAAAAGCACATGTTTATAAATAATTTAGGCATACATACACAAATACTGTGAACAATGAATGGGTTTTCAAACAACTTAATTTTGCAAAGGAGATGGTAAGAAGTTGAAAAGCCTTTATGTATATACAAGCCGCATTTCCTCTTTCCCAAGCTCTTGTTATCTGTTTCTGTGCGTTTTCACTGACTGTTAAAGGCAACATGTTTTTCCCTCTCTGTCTGGGTATTCTGTATCTGTGTGCCATCTGCCCTGTCTGACATTATTTCTGGATAAATATACTCTTTGTTTTAGTGAGTTCCCTACCTTATTTCAGTGGTAGAGTCCAGTTCTGCTTGGGCTCCATGATTTAAAAAGCCTGCCTTATGCAGTGTTATGATACTTCTTCTCTAACATCAATCTGCATTCTGCCATCCACAGCCCAGGGAAACTGCAGTAGAGTAATTAGCAGTATCCGAATTACAATTTTACCAAGAAGGCACAAAGGGGCAAGAGCCGAGGGCAACAAGAGGATGATTAAGTTTTATCAGTAGTTTTTAAACTTTCCTTTTCTACTGTTCATAAATACATTTAGATTATCAAGGACATTTACTTAAAAGAAATACAAATCAGTTCTTATCTTACCAATTAAAACAATTTTTTAAAAATTTTGATCTTTGAAGATGTCATTTTTTCTTTAGTAAGCAGTAAAGCTTTGTACCCAGAAATGTTCCTCATCAATGCAATTTGATAACATCCAGTGAATTAAGACACCAAAGTACTTAGCATGATTAAACTGCTGATAAATGTGTATTCTTGAATTCATCAAGAAGCATTGTCATATGATATTATAGATTTTTTTTTTCTCAACTTCATGTGGACTGTTTTGGTTACTTTTTTGTTTTAATTCTGTTAAAAGGCAGCTAACTAAATATTGAACTTAAAATGAGAATCATTTTTTTCCAAACAAATTTAAGTAAATAACTTGTATTAATTTACTTTGCTTATGAGAGAACTACTCAAGACAAAAGTAGATAGTAGTCTTGAATTTATAAGTAATTCAACTTTCTTTTATCCAGAATGCACTCTCTTTGGAAGGTGTTGCATTTAGTTGACTTGCTTTTGTTACATACGTGTCATACATTTGCTATTTTTGTTATTTTTGCTCCAATATATATTAAAATTTTTTTTAATTTAAATCCATTTATAGGATTTACAATGAAACTCTAGAGTATTTTAACCTTTTTGTCCTGCTGGAGAAAAAAATAGTACATTATGTGTTTTCTTATATACCCACAAACCAGTGGGTTCAGAAATATTCAATTATACCTGTGAAGAGAAAATAGAAAAAAAAAAGGGAAATATGTGTAGTAAAAATTTGGATGAGCAGACTTTTAAAAACAGCATATTAAATTGGAGAAGAACAACTAAAATGACTGAGTCCCAGACTATTTAGTTTAGCTATTTGCATGCAAAAGTAATAGAGCATTAACAAACTATTGTGCAATCTGGTGTAATTGCTCTACCCATGCAACCCTCATATACCGTGGATATACTTGTGTACAAAATAGCTATGATACCAGCATAACAGAGAAATAAAACTTTAAAGCTTGGTTTTATGTGGTAGGGAAGAGGAATCAAAGATATTATAGAACTCAGGTAGGGTTTTTACTGTCTTGTCTTCTTTTGGGAGCTACCAGCTGCTACACTCACACAAATAGATTAGTTGAAAAATATATTAAAATGTACAAATTATATCTCTACGGTGAAATTAATGACTACTTCATTCACCATAAAAGATAATTTTACAAAGGAAATACTGCATCATTAAAGTTAGCATTTATGAAACCCAAATGTGCACAATAAAATGACAGCAGCTTGCTCAAAACAGTGTTATATCCTGCTAAAGTGTTTATCTTTTAAAAGAAAGAGCAACGATACAATTCCACTCTTCTAAGGAGGACACAAAGGGTCCTGCTAAATTCACTTATCTTGTTTTAGGGTACAAGGATTTTAGTGATCTTTAAAATCTTAAAACAGAGCACATTTTTATTTTATTGTTGTATTGTGTGATACCAAAATTATTCATTAAAGGATTGTTAATGATATGGTAGATATACTAAAATAGTTTAATTGTTAGACAAATTGGGATAATTACATACAGATGATTTAATTAATGAGATATTAAAATACACTGATACATTTACAAAATTGTGAAGTCTCACTGAGTTCAGAACTAGACTTGAATCACTATTCTATTTCAAAACTAATTAAATCAGCTGTAGTGAACCATCTCCAAGTCAATGCTTTCAACATTGAAGGCATTTCTGTCACAAAGTATAGCAGTTTTAAAGCCACTTTGCCAAGAATATTGGAATGGTAAATGAGGATAATCTTTCGCTTCCTATCAGTGCTCTAAATACAAGGAAAATTGCGGCGTCATACCTACTTATGATTATAATAAACTTCTGCATAGGGCCAAGTGATTCTTCCATTGGTTTCAGAGAGCCAGCACCGATTCTTACATGTCCTCTTGCCAGTGCATTAGTCATATAAATAACAAGGATAAATAGTGCTTTTTATATACTTATGTTTTCCTTTCTATTGTGGGGGATGATGAAATTTAAATTTATCAAGGATTTTGACTCTTAAGAAAAGGAGATAGTACCCAACTATCAGTAGATTGAGTAATGTGAAACATATTTGATTACCAATTCAAAGAAGAAACATGAAGATTGCAATACAAAAAAGTGATTACACTTTGATGTGCTGTTTGTCTGTAAATGTTCTAGGTTATGCTTAATATCATAACCTAACTTTTGCTGTGCAGAATAACTTCTTTCTATTATTAATACGATGAAGAAGCTATGCATGCATTGAATGCACTTTTCTTGGAAATATGTACCAAATGATACAGGTATTATGGGTGCAGAAGCAGGAATTAAGGAAACCTGATAATTTAATGAGGAAGGTGACTGTAGTCAGATGAGAACTCACTATATCTGAAAAGTTTCATTGCTGATGAACTATGGCAAAATGGCTTCTTGGTATATACCGAGACACGTAGTGGTAGGCTTTATTTCCATTACACTTCATTTCATTTCTTTCTTTCTTTTTTTTTTTTTTTTGAGACAGAGTCTTGCTCTGTTGCCCAGCTTGGAGTGCAGTGGTGCGATCTTGGCTCACTGCAACCTGTGCCTCCTGGGTTCAAGAAATTCTCCTGCCTTAGCTTCCCAAGTAGCTAGGATTACAGGTGTGTGCCACCATGTCCAGCTAATTTTTTAACTGTAGTAGAGACTAAAATGAGGTTTCACCATCTTACCAAGGCTGATATCAAACTCCTGGCCTAAAGCATCCACCCACCTCTGCCTCCCAAAGTGCTGGGATTACAGGGTGAGTCACTGTGCTCAGCCTGCTTCATCTCTTTAAAAAACAGATTTTATAGAGCTTACAAAACTACATGCAGTCGCCATGAAATAAAATAGTTACAAAATTAGTAAAGAAAAAATTAAAAATGAGTAAAAAGAAAGCAGAGGTTCATGTGCATGGAGCAATATACATTTTAAATGTATACTCTGTTAATGAAAGCATGTGTCAAAATCAGATCTGATCATTCTGGTGAGTATCCAAAGAAAAAATAAAAAATAAGGCTTTTACAAATTTAGCACAGTATGTTTTTTCATGTGAAGTGCTGAATGAAAACAGTAAAATGCTTCTCTTAATGTGCAAGACTAGTTTCAAATAGCAATGCGATACAAATTGAAGGTACAATACTGTTAAGCCAATGACCAAAAAAAAAGTTTAATATCATACTTCAGTGTCTAATGGCTGGCATAATTCAACTTTAAGATGAAATATCTACAAAAGGATTATAATTAATATTTTGGAAGTAATTATTATTGCCACCCCTTTCAACTCTTGCTCCTTAGAAACCTTTCATAGTCATTGACATTAGATAGTTCTGTTATATCCTTGGAAAATACATTTGTTATTGAAAAATTTGGGTTAAGAATTAAGAACATTTATCTATAGAAACTTAAGTATGAAAGGTATTGTTAAGTGGCAGATAAAATTGATGTAATGTAACTTAACTGACTAGTTTTCTAAGTTCCTCTATGACTTTAGAACTATCTTGGCTGGGCTGGGCACGGTGGCTCAAGCCTGTAATCCTAGCACTTTGGAAGGCCGAGGCAGGAGGATCACTTGAGGTCGGGAGTTCAAAACCAGCCTGGTGTGGTGGCACGCGCCTGTAATCCCAGCTACTTAGGAGGCTGAGGCAGGAGAATTGCTTGAACCCGGGAGGTGGAAGTTGCAGTGAGTGGAGATCTCACCAACGCACTCCAGCCTGGGAGACAGAATGAGACTCTGTCTCACATCAACAACAAAAAAATTATCGTGGCTGGCAGACTAGGAGGTGTAGCACTATTAATGCAACTTCTCCAAAATGACTACTAGTGCAGCGAGGACTTCATATTGATTTACCCCATCAAATAATTATACATCTTAAATGATAGAAGCTTTAAGGCATTAATAAAATGCTATGAGGTTTTATGGGTTTTATCACATTTTATTACAGCATAACTGTATATTGTAACAGATGTCTTCAGCATTTAAAATTTTTATATTTTGTATTAATCTTCATATTTATAATATTTTACTAAGTGAAATGTTTGTAATAATGAGTCTTTTAAAATTTCATATCAATTACCTTTATACCTTAGTAAGTTGTTTTGAAATTTCATATCAATTATCATTATACATTAGAAAGTTATACATTTATTGCATACTACTCTGTTTTTTATGAAATATGTCATTATTTTATATTTTCACCTTACAGAAAAGTTGCAAGATTAGTACAAGAATCTCCAAGATACTCTTACCTAAATTTACTAGCTGCTTATATTTTTGTCTCACTTGTTTTATCATCCCCTCTCTCTCTCTGTGTTTTGTTCTATTTATCTATTTATTTATACATATACGTATATTATTTTTCTTCTTAAATCATTTGAGAGTAAGTTGGAGATAGTGTTACCCTTAACCCCTAAATACTTCAGTGTGCTCAGCCTAAGAGTAAGCTTATTATCTTAAATAGCTACAGTATAGTTAACAAAATCAGAAACTAAAAAATTATCTGTACTCAATATTCAAATTTCAACAATTTGTCAATAAACAGTCATTTGTAGATATTTTTCTCCAGCCGGAATCCAAATATATTGTTTCCAAGTTTCTCTAGTCTCTTTAAGTTTTGTATAACTACATATACAAATATATATGAACTTATTACATGTACATTCTTTAAAGGTTTTGCATTTTCATGTAAGTCAGACTATTTTCTATATATGAAAACTTTATAAGAATATTGTTTTTGCCAAACACTCTGAGATAAAAATATGTGAACTTTTCATTTATGTAATAAAATCTGGCAAATATTATAGAGGAAACAGTAATGACTAAATCATTATTCTTATCTTTGACACAGTTCAGATTCTACTAATAATATTTGCATACATCAAGTGTTAAACACTAGGCTAAGTGGTCTTTGATATATTGTCTCACCCTTTGAATAACGTAAATAAGCAACCTGGTATACAGTGAGGATACAAATTAGTAACTTGAAGTGTGTATAGTTGATAGCTATTGAAACTGAAATTTGAATTCAGGTTTTTAGAATTCCAATTAAGCAAATGTGTGTAATATATAATATATAATATAAAATAACAAGGGTCAGAAATAAATCCAGATGAAGTTCCAGGAGTGAGAGATCACACCAATTTTTAATATGAGAAATGAATGAGAATTTAGGCTTTGAATGTAGTTGTGCATAAGTATACATAAATACACATGCTCATCAGAAGCAATAGTTCAGAATGTGATTCATTCCATCCCTCAATCATGTGCTGACTTTAATGGTTATATATCTGTGTCTCATTAAGAAAATGTTCATTTTTCTTGAAAGAATAATTTCTAATATCTACTTCCAGAAAAATCATGTGTGTGTTGGTGGGGATGCTACTCACAAATTTGGGATAGATTTATTCCTTAAGTAAGAGGGGTATATTTCTTTTCTTTTGCTGCAAAACAAATTTCCACAGATTTAATAACTTCAAACAACACCCATTCATTAGCTCACAGTCCTGCAGGTCACAAGTCTGGGTGACCTCAACTGAATTCTATGTTGGGGTTATCACAAAGCTGAAATTATGGTGTTGATCAGGCTAAACTTTTATCTAGAGACATTGGAAAAGAATCCACTTCCAGATTCTTTCAGATCAATGGCAGAATCCAGTTCTATGCAGTTGGAGATCTAAAGGTTCCACTTTCCTTGTTGGCTCTCTGCCAGCAGTGACCACCTGTACTTCTCACGTCACCTTCTCTGTCTTCAAAGTCCACAACCATGTGTTTTGTCTTTCTCACACTTTAATCTTTCTGAATTCCTCTTCTGCTACCAGCTGGCAACTCTGCTTTTCAAATGCGCGTGTGATTACATTGGACCATGGTCATTACCCGATCATAAGTGTCAACTGATTAGTACACTTAATTACATTCTCTAAGTCCCTGTGGCCTTGTATGTTAACATATTCAATAGCGTGATTTTCGTTATATTGGCATTCCCAATAATAATGATAAAAAATGTGGTGGGGGCCATTTTTTGAATTTTGCTTACCTCATAGAAGATAGTAAAATACGTCCGAGACATATCTGAATTTAGCCCTATTTTGTCACATCAGCACTACCACTTTCAGAGTGACCCTGAATATTTGGGATGAGTATCCTTGTAATCTGCACATTTAAGGTCTTTTTTTCAGTAAGAATTCTACTTGACATCACTGTAATTTTTGATGTTATTGATAAACTATATAAATTTCTTCTCTCTTGGTTTTCACAAAACCATTATTTTTTTGCTAGCTTAATTATACCTTTGGCCACTTATGAGTCTATTTTTCTTTGTTGTTGCTTCTGATGTATTTTGTTTTGTTTTGTTTTTTCTTTACCAGCTGTGAAATATCCACCAAGCTTTGGATTACAATGTTTTCTCATAATATATTTTATTCCTATTGAATATTTACTCTCATGGATTCCATTATCTATTTGCAAATATATTTCCAATACTGATTCCCACTTTGCTATGTAGTCTTCCACTTGTATTTGTTGATCACAAATAAATAGCACGTAAAAGCCAGGCGCGGTGGCTCATGCCTGTAATCCCAGCACTTTGGGAGGCCGAGGCGGGCGGATCACGAGGTCAGAAGATCCTGACTAACAGGGTGAAACCCTGTCTCTACTAAAAATACAAAAAATTAGCCAGGCGTGGTGGCGGGTGCCTGTAGTTCCAGCTACTTGGGAGGCTGAGGCAGGAGAGTGGCGTGAACCCAGGAGGCGGAGCTTGCAGTGAGCCGAGATCACGCCACTGCATTCCAGCCTGGGCGACAGAGCAAGACTCTGTCTCAAAAAAAAAAAAAAAAAAAAAAAAAAGCACATAAAATGTGATATTCTTCTAATGCAACAGAAAATAGACTTTCAGCACTGAGAGAAAATAGAAAAATTTTGCTCATACTCATTACATTAAGTATTCTTGGCAAATTAAAAAAATACATCAAACAGTATATTGTTAAATTGCAAAATATCTATACTAAATAATCAAAGGGTTATATCAATATTTTTATAATTCATGTCACAGTGGTACTTAAACTTTTATATTGTATTTTAAGTTATTTTGAAGCTGGCACAATAGATTCTCTGGGTTTATAAGACTACTGGACCTGGACCTGGAGAACATTGGTCAATGACACGTCTCAGATGAAACGCTCTCCAAGAAGCTTCTTTTAGCCCAAGAGAGCAACCTTGCCCAAAGTCATGCCAGTTTTTAGGCAACTGCCCATATCCAATGACTGGAGAATGAAAAGATATAAACTCCCAGCATATTTGCCTTAAGACAGAACAATTATGATGGGTAATTCATACTCCACAGCTGCCTGTGATGAGCTGTGGTCTTGGCTTCAAATGCAGTCGTGTGCCATGTAACCAAGTTTCAGTAAATGACTGACTGCATGTAGGATGGTGGTCCCCTAAGATTATAATGGAGCTGAAAAATTCCTATCACCTAGTAGCATCATAGTCCTTGTAACATCACAGTGCAATGAATTACTCTTATGTTTGTGGTGATGTTGCTGTACAAAAAACCTACTGAACTGCCAGGCATATAAAAGTATATAGTACTTACAATTATGTACAATACTTAATAGTTGATATGATAAGAACTAACTATACTATTGGTTTATGTATTTAATATACTATACATTTCATTGTTATTTTAGGGTATAAATAAGTTAACTATAAAACAGCCTCAGGCAGGTCCTTCAGGAAGTATTTCAGAAGATATTTTTATCATAGGAGATAATCATTACATGCTTGTTATTGTGACTGAAGACCTTTTAGTGGGGCAAGATATGGAGGTAAAAGGCAGTAATATTGAAGAGCCTGACCCAGTGTAGGGCAAGGTTAATGTGTGTGTGTTTCTTAGTTTCTAACAAAAAAATTAAAAGGAAAAAATAAACTAAAAATTTTTAAAAATAGAAAAATGCTTGTAGAATAAGGATATAAAGAAAATATTTTGTACAGCTATACAATGTGTTTATGTTTTAAGCTACATGTTACTAAAAAGAGTCAAAAAGTTAAAAACTTTAAAAGCTTATGATGTAAAAACATAGCAGTAAGATAATGTTAATTTATTATTGAAGAAATATTTCTTGATATACCCTGAGTGTACACTGTTAATGACATCTACCATAGAATTTCAGGCCTTCATATCTACCTGCCACTCTCTTATGCACTAAACTAGAGCAACTGGCAGTCCTGCAAGCTACATTCACAGTAAGTGCCCTGTACAGGTGTATGTTTTTCTATCTGTTATACTATGATTTTTACTGTACCTTTTCTATGTTGAGATACACAAATACTCACCACTGTGCTACAATTACCTACAGTCTTCAGTACAGTAACATACCATACAGGTTTGTAGCCTAGAAGCAATATGCTATACCGTATATGCCAGGTGTGTTGTAAGCTATATTGTCTAGGTTGTATAAGTACAATCTATTATGTTCACACAATGACAAAATTGCCTAACGATACATTTCTCAGGTTTCCCTATTGTTAAATATTGCTTGAGTGTACATCGCTGCTTTGCTTTGAGTAACCACTCCTGCTGACCAATATTACTTTTTACACTAACTCATAGGTGTTCAGAGCTTCCTTTTATTATTTTTGTTATGCAGTACATGTTTTAATAATTATTGAATAATATACTAGAGCATTTATCTGACCATCTCATGACACCTGCCAGAAAACAAGCTAAAAAGCAACACAGAAAAATTCCTTCGATGCAATTCCTTGTAATTCAGTTGTTTTAATTACCACAATCCTCATAAATAAAGCTTCTAACTCACTTTGTAAAAGATTGTATAATTTATGGTTTTATTTTTAAAATGCTTTGACATCAAACATCTCTAAATCATGCAGTCATTTAATGTAGTGGTAACCTATATCAAGTACTATGTCTCTAAAATTTAAGTTTGTATTTTTCTCAAAAGAATGGAGTCTCTAATGCAAGCTATTTGACAGAACCACCATCTGCCTGCCCTGAGCTTTAACATCTAGAGGAAGGTATCATCCACTGGGGAAATTTCCACATGCATTTCAGTTGAAAAGCTAAGACTTCCTCACCTTTTCTTGCCCTTTGTGCTTGGAGAAATGGAGTACCACTCAACACTGCTGGCCAAAGATACAGCTGGCCAGTTTTGACCTCCTGGATTCTGGCCAACAGCTGTTCAATCTGTGCTCTGCACTCAAGGGACTTGAAGTTGAAGCATCATCCCCTGTATTGCCAATTCCACCCTAATTATCTCAATGCTCCATAACCAAAGACTTCTTTTTTTTCCCCCACCAGAATAAATTGGTTAGCATTTTCTCTATCAAATCCATACTATTTATTAGTATAGCTACATGAATGACCTAGACTCTAATACTTACGAATTCAGTAAGTGTATTATCAGTAGGTTGTATTTTTTTGACTGAAGCACAACCTGAAAACTTTTTAGTAAATAAAAACAATAATAGTAAGTCATAGTTAGCAAATGATTTTTGAAACTTTAAAAAAATTGATTATTAAGTGGGATTAAAGGGACGAGATATCGACTTTCAATTTTATCGTTTACAATAATTTTTTATTTACAATTTTTATTAGAATAATCTCAAAAACTCTGGGAGAATTATTTTATATAAGAAAACTTGAGCTTTTTGGCAGGGAATGGACCACATAAAGGGATTAGTTAATTGGAGAATCCTAGTGCATTTACTCAGCTGTCCAGTTGCTATTTATGAGTTGAAGAAAGAAAAGTGTATTTGAAAACACCTTTGCAAAAATTATGACACTGAAAAAATCAAACATAGGAAAATTACGACAGTGAATGAAATCTGACCTAACTGACCCCATCTTGCTTTTAACCTACAAGCTGCTCTTGTTCATTCTTGGGTGTAGGTTGAGCTTACCATAGTAGGAATTTACCTTATAGTTTAACTTTGAAACTAAGATGATAGCCCCTTCCTGAAATGAACCCTCTCTTTGCTGGGGACCCGACCACCTTTGTAAGGCTAACAAGTTAGCCACAAGATTAAAAATGATGGATCAGGAGTCATGCAGCCAGAGGCCACAAGATTCCTAACCTCCTCAACTGCTCCTGTGGATACCATCACTATTGTAAAACCTAAGATTGTTGTTAGAGACATTCATCAGGCCCTGCATTCTGATGGACCAGCTGGCACCACCCAGATCGGTAAACTGGTTCAATTAGTTCTGTGATCCCACCCAGGAACCGAAAGCAGAAAGAAAAACCCACTTTGACCCCCAGTGAATGTATCCCCTACGCTAACAATTAACATTCCCCATTCCCTAGCCCTCTGCCCATCAAATTATCCTTGAAAAACCCTAACCTCTGAGCCTTTGAGGAGACTGATGTGAGTGATAGCTCTAGTTCTCCTGCATGGCTGTCCTTGCATCTATTAAATTCTTTATTTTCTGCAATACTACAGTCTCAGTCAATTGATTTTTGTGCAGTGTGCAGGAAGAACCCCTTGGGTGATTACATATTTGTACAATTATATTTTTAAATACATACAGCAACTCATATTTCCCACAGTGTTTCTGTTTCTTAAATTATTTTTACCATGTTTGCCCTTTAAATTTTCTCTCAAAAACGTATGTGTAACTTTTCCACGAGACATAAAACATTAATATATAACCTTTTTGATTACTTTCCAGTAGTGCCAATAAAAATGCACACGTCTTGCTTACTCTTGCCCACTGTCCCCATGTGATCAGCATTAGTGAGCCACATTATGAAGTAGGATAATGATTACAGAATCACAAGTGTATTGAACCTCTTATTTTGAATAAATAGACCCTATAATTTATCTAAAATTTAGACCTATAATGTCTAAATTTATAATATTTTAACCCGAATACACTATTGCCCTATCAGATATGCTAGCAGAGGAAATAGTCCATTGTTATTTTCTGTTTATTGATTAGAATAGAGTGATGATTTGGTTATGTGCTGTGTTCAGATATAGCAAAGTTTCTCAGTAAACAGATCTGGAGATGAAAATTTGCACATAATAATTTTATTAAGGAGAGTTCTCAGGATTAATACCTATTGAGAAATAAAAAAAATTAAGATTGAGAAAAAGAACTTGAACTGTGAAACAGTCTCAAGGAGGCCTTGGCCAATCTCTTGGGCAGCTCTGCTAAAATGGTTCTTTAGAATTCTGCTTTGATATAGGGGCACAAGCATTTATACTATCATATCAATAGCCATTTGATAAGGAGTGTCCTAGAGAAAGAAGGTTTCTTCTGGTAAGGCAGCTCCCTTTGCCCAAGGACAATTCATAAGTCTCAAGGCTCAGGAGAAAGACATCAGGCAGCAATACTCTCAGGGGGCGGACAAATGAAAGCCTCAGAACTGAAGGGTGTATCTTGGAGGCACAAAAGAGCATCCATTATAGTCCAACCTTTTGCTTTCTTCAGCTCCACATACTTTATGTAATACATTTTAGAAACTCTTCATTCAAGATTTGCACTGGTCATATTTCTTGGGGTAAATTGCAACAGGAAGTTTAGTGGAAAAAACTTCAACATCACCACTGTAGCTGGTCTTGAAGACATAATTTGCTTCTCTCTCTCTCTTTTTTTTTCTTTTTTAAAAACCAGTTCTAGATTCCCGTCAATTTTAACAAGGATCTTCACTGGCTTAGGGTCTTATTCGTAAGTTGACCAAGAAGTTATTCACTCCCAAGGGGGTTTGAACTCCAGGTCTTCATGCTTCCCTCAGTCTACTGTACATGAGCATTAAACAATAAAATTGGGTAAGAAAATGCCAAGAGATATCTCAGGGAGGACATGAGTATCAAGCATGTTGTTTTCTGACCTCACTGCATAACATTTCTATCTCTTTATGATGATCAAGATAATTACTACTACTAAGATTGTGACACCTTCTCTTGATTATTGGTATTTTGACAACAAGTCCTGAAGTATACCTACAACAGCCAAGGATTGAAGTTTAAAGGGACTCTTGCTGTGTACTCTGGTGAAAGTCTTCTTCCACAGGAACCCAGATCTCTGAGGAAAAAAAAAAAGAAATAAGTAAAAACCTCTTAAATGGGTAGCTGGAAATAAAAATAAGTTCAGTTACTTACTGAGAACCACTCTCAGCTATCAAATCCATATATCTCAACTTTTTTATCCTAGCACCATATGAGAGCTATTGATTTAGGGGATATATTGCGTTTTGAAATACAGTGTTCTACCTTACCAGAGTATTATCCTTAAACAGGCACATCAGTTGTGCTTTTCATGGACTGTTACATTTATATTTCTCTCTCTGATTAACAGCTTCTGGGTGGGGTGCATATGTGTGTATGTGTGTGTGCGTATGTGTGTATAACAGAAGTAGTTGATGCCACAGTAAACTACACTGATACACTGTTTTGCTCTAAAGTAGGTTCTGAGGCTGTGCTAGTCCTATATCAACTTGTAATTCCTTGAATGATAATGCTTATTGAGACCCTGAAGGCAGGAACTGAACCTGGGATAGGTTTTGATGTTTTCACCTCTGGTGTCAAAGGACTCCACTGTAATTAACTTGCTACTATAGAGTACATGTGGTCTCTTCATGTATGAGGGCATATCATGGGTTCTGAATTGGACTTTTATGTTTGAATATTGGACATTCTGAAGCCATAGTAGCTAGGTCAGCCTTAGTGAGTTGGAATCTATGTCACTAGGTTCATTCATGACCACCCTTGCCACTATAACAACCTTATTATTATGCACTTATCCTTTCAGGACTAAAGGGGCCATTGAGACTTTCTTACATCAAATGGCTGAGTCATTGTTTCTGTCTGGTTGTTTAGTGCATTGTCAATGGCACATGCCTCTTGTTGGGTATTATCATATACTACAAAGATCATATATCATGTCCACTCCTGTAGGTTAATTGACATGTGGTTCCCCAGACATTCTTGTTCTTAGTCTCATTTTTTTTTTGCAGACTTTCCAAAAACCTGCTAAGCTATTTGCCACACCCCATGATTCTGCATACATTCTGTCACTAGTCTGCTTCTCTTTCCATATAACGTGAATGACCAAAGATTTGCTCATTAGGAGAATTTCTCCTCTCCCAACTTTCAGGACAAACTATGAGTGGACCTCTGATGAAACTGCAGCAAGGTTTTATTAGGTTCTAACCAATATCGAGTCTAATCCACCCAAAGTCTGACAAAGTTAGAAGTTACCAAAACTAATTCAAGAAAAAATAGAAAACCTGAATAAAACTTACATCCGTAAAAAAGTTTGAAATTAAAAATCTTTCCCAAAGCATAATCAACCTCTCAAGAAAAGAACAACAGCAACAACAACAACAACAACAAAACATAAGGCCAGCCCAGATGGCTTCTCTGGTAAATTTCATCAAATATTTAAAGAAGAAAAAATACCATATCTACTCAAACGCTTCTAGAGAACAGAAGAGAAGGGGACAGTGTTAATCACATTTCCAAGAGGTTAGTGTATTCCAAAACCAAACAAAAAATCACAAGAAAAGTAATTCATAGTGCAATAACCTTATAAACATAAATGCGTAAAATCTTAAGATATTAGCCAATTATATTCAGCATAATATAAGAATGATATACTATACTGGCCGGGCGTGTAGCTCATGCCTGTAATCCCAGCACTTTCGGGGGCCGAGGTGGGCGGATCACCAGGTCAGGAGATTGAGACCATCCTAGCTAACATGGTGAAATCTCGTCTCTACTAAAAATACAAAAAAATTAGCTGGGCATGGTGGCATGTGCCTGTAGTCCCAGCTACTCAGGCGGCTGAGGCAGGAGAATCACTTGAACCCAGGAGGGGGAGGTTGCAGTGAGCTGAGATCGTGCCGCTGCACTCCAGCCTGGTGACAGAGCAAGACTCTGTCAAAAAAAAAAAAAAGAAAGAAACAAATAAAGAATTATATACTATACCAAATGGGGTTAATTCAAGAACTGAACAGGTAATTTAATGTCTATAAATTTATTAGTATGGTGTATTAAGAGAGTGAAGCACAAAAATACACATAATCATCTTAAAAGACACAAAAAAATGATAATTGAAGAAAATCTAACACTGCTTCATAGTAAAAACTCTCAAAGTTAAGAAATAGAAGTGAACTTTCTCAACTAGATAAAGGACACATACCACAAACAAACAAAAAAATGACAATTAATATCATGTTTAGTTGTGAAAGGCTGAAAACCCCTTTTCCTATTATAGAGAAAAAGTAAAAAATGTCTACTCCTACCATTCTATTAAATGTCATGCTAAGAGTCTAGCCAGTGTTATATGGCAAAAATAAAATGATAAAAATGAAATTAAATAACAAGCATGCATAGTAATAAGGAGAAGTAAGATAGTTATTTTTTGCAAATGACATAATCCTATAGATAGAAAATCCTAAGGAATACATACACTCAGAAAGAAAACAAAGAAATACAGTTTGCAAAAATCACAGGATACAAAATTAATGTACAATAATGCATTTTGGAATTCTAGCAATAAGAGACATAAAAATAAAATCTCAGAAAAAAGCTTTATTCACATTTACATTAGAAGCTACAATAAAAATATATTTAAAACAACAATTAAAAACTACAAAATATTGCTGAAAGTACAGAAGACCTAAGCAAATGATGAGGTATCTCATGTTCATGGAATGACTCAGAATTGTTAAGATGAGAACTCTTCTCAAATTGTTCTGTAGATTACATGAACTTCCTATCAAAATCTCAGCATGTTATTTTATAATAGAAAATGACAAGGTGATTTTAAAAATTATGTGGAAATGTAAAAGATTGAGCCTAGCCAAAACCACTTTGAAAAAAAAATTGGAGGACTTATACCACCTTAAGTCTGAATACACTGTACAATTTGAATAATAAAGGTAGCGTGTTATTACCAAAATTATAATCAAATAGGTCCATGAGTATAACTGAGAGTCCAGAAATAAAGGCTTACCTTTTCAGTCAATTGATTTTCTACGAAGATGCCAAGTTAATTTAAGGGCAAAAAAAAAAAAAAATAGACATTACAAAAAATTTGTGCTGGGAAAATTAGATGTCTATAAACAAATAAGCAAAAAATACAAACAATACAGAAACCAAAGCAAAACTTACATTAAAAAAAACTCAAAATTAATCATAGAGCTAGATGTCAATGATAAAACTATAAAAAATACATAAGAGAACATAGGTGAAAAAATCCTATGGCTTTTGGTTAAGTAGAATTTTCATATATGTCAACAAAAACAAGATCCATGAAAGGAAAATGTTGATAAATCATACACATGGATATGGTTTGGCTCTGTCGCCACTGAAATCTTATCTGGAATTGTAATCCCCAGGTGTTAAGGGAGGGACCTGGTGAGAGGTGACTGAATCATGGGGGAGGTTCACCCATGCTGTTCTCGTGATAGGGAGTTCTCGTGATAGGGAGTTCTCAGGAGATCTGATGGTTTAAAAGTGGCAGTTTTTCCTGCTCTCTCTCTTTCTCCTGCTGCCTTGTGAAGACAGTAGTTGCTTCCCCTTTGCCTTCCGCCATGACTGGAAGTTTCCTGAGGTCTCCCAGCCATGCAGAACTGTGAGTTCATTTAATCTCTTTCCTTTATAAATTACCCTGTCTCAGTAGCATCTTTTTCTTTTTTCTTTTCTTTTTTCTTTTTTTTTTTTTGAAACCGAGTCTTGCCTTGTCGCCCAGGCTAGAGTGCAGTGGCGCGATCTTGGCTCACTGAAACTTCCTCCTCCCAGGTTCAAACGATTCTCCTGCCTCAGCCTCGTGAGTAACTGGGACTACAGGCGCCCGCCACCACGCCCAGATGTTTTTGTATTTTTAGTAGAGAGGGGGTTTCACAATGTTGGTCAGGCTGGTCTTCAACCCCTGACCTCAAGCAATCCACTCCCCTCGGCCTCCCAAAGTGCTGGGATAACAGGCATGAGCCACTGCGCTCAGCCTCAGTAGTATCTTTATAGCAGTGTGAAAATGGACTAAAACACATATCAAAAGTAAAAATTTAAGATAATAAAAATGCAAGCCATGTCCTGGGAAATTATCTTTACAAAGTATATATCTGACAAAAGATTTGTATCCAGAATACATAAAAGACTCAAAGATCAACAATAAGAAAATCAACAACCAAATGAAAAACTGGCCAAAGATTTCAACAAGCACTTCACCAGAGTAGATCTACGGATGACTATTAAATATGCATGTGCAAAGTTCCTCAACGTCATTAGTCATTTGAAAAATGTAGACCCAGAGTTCGATACCAGCATTTATACATATACACACACGCACTAAGATAGCTACAAGTTTTTAAAAAGACAAATATGTGAAGAAAGCGTATCCTGTACAATTCGATTCTTATAAACTATACTTAGGCCAGGCGTGGTGGCTCAGGCCTGTAACCCCAGGACTTTGGGAGGCCGAGGTGGGCGGATCACGGTGTCAGTTCAAGACTAGCCTGGCCAACATAGTGAAACCCCTTCTCTATTAAAAATACAAAAAATTAGCTGGGTGTGGTGGCATGGGTTTGTAATCCCAGCTACTCGGGAGGCTGAGGCAGGAGAATCACTTGAACCTAGGAGGCGGAGGTTGCAGTGAGCCGAGATTGTGCCACTGCACTCCAGCCTGGGCGACAGTGCAAGACTCCGTCACAAAAATAAATAAATAAAATAAACTATGTGTTTTAGACAATGAAACATAGTTATAGTGGTTGAAAGCAGATCATTAGTTTTCTGGAGGAATCTGGAACGGAGTAAGAAGGAAGTAATAAAAGGGTAGGAGGAAAAGTTTGTAGGTGGTTGCTATGTTTATTATTTTGATGGGAATAATTGTTTCACCTGTATATACATGTGTAAAAAAATGTCAAGTTGTGGCCAGGCGGGTGGCTCACGCCTGTAATTCCAGCTACTCAGGAGGCTGAGGCAGGAGAATCGCTTGAACTCAGGAGGCGGAGGTTGCAGTGAACTGAGATGGCGTCACTACACTCCAGCCTGGGCAACAGAGTGAGACTCCTTCTCAAAAAAAAAAAAAAAATCAAGCTGTAATTTTAAATATATGTGTTACATTGTATGTCAAATATAACTACTACAGCTTTCAATAAAAATAAGATATTTTATATATTGCATTTTCATTTCACTGAATCAATGTTGCTATTTATTGCAGCATGTACAATAATTTTTTAATAAAAAAGGAAAATATATGCTATTAAATTTGTCATCTATCTTCACTGAAGAATTAGAAGAATGTTTAAACTGTGAAATCTATGGAAGAGCACATGAAATTTAAAATCTGATCAATAAGTTTGTTCAAATGATTGTTTCATTGTCACTATTGAAAATTAAAAAATTGCTTTCATTTTCCTCAAGCTCTTGGGACTAGATATAGAATTACTTCTAGAATATATATTAGTGAGCAATTTCTTCTGATTTTTATTCTTTTAGGCAAAAATATGTTCACTGATATTAAATTTATTATTCTGTATCATGAATATCAGATGAAGCATGAAAATGAACATGAATAGACAAGCCAAGTTTCTTTTGAATGTTGAATAAGAGTGTGTTAATAATAATGTAACTACCTTTCCACTTGCATTATTTGCTGATACATATATCAGGTTGCAAATGGTTATAAACAGAGAATTTGGTAGGAAAGGCATTTAAAGAATTGGTACAGAAATGTGTCATGTGATTTTCATTGAAAATAGAACAAATATGATGCAATCTAGGGGTGATTAGTTGTTCTTACATTCCAATTGTGTGCTTCAAAAGTAATTGTAGCACAGAGCAGTGTGTTACAAATACTGGCTATGAAAAGGAAATTATTAGCTACATTTATTATTACTCTCCAGCCAAATAAAAACAAGATGTCACACAAGAGATCTGAGAATCCTGCTGTCACTGAAGACGTTCAAATGGAACAACAAAATACAACTATTACATGCTTGCAGATAATTCTCAACCAAACTTAAAGACAACCAATGTTAACTTGCAAGGAAAGTAGATTTGTTTTTAACTTGAAAAACCATCTCAATAATATACCAAATAAACATTCTTTGAGTGTACAAGGGTTTTCTACATGATACTTGATATAAAGGTCTTTCTTATGCAGATAATATGTTGAAATTAATGTTTTTTGTACATTAATTTCAATGGAAAATAATATTCAGTTAGAAATTTAGTAGAATTTTGTGATTTATCTTGCAAGTTTAGTGCATTTCTTTATGGTGACATTTTCAGATTCAAGATTATAAGAACATATTTTTTTCTCAAGTAAATTTGCTTAGCAACATATGTTTGAGACATAATAAGAAATTTATGTGTGTGCGTATGTGTAGGTGTGCTCTTGTTATCTATTGCTCCGTAACAAACAATCTATATCTTGTATCTTAAAACAATAACTGTTTATTTTGCTTAGCAATCTGTCATCTGTGCAAGGCTTAATGGGGATAGCTCATCTCTCCTCCACATGTTGTGACCATAGCCGGCAAGTTTGTGATAGCTTTTGGTTTCTCTCCATGTGGACTTCTCATGGGAAGCTTGGCCTTCTTACAGCATCATGGCTGGATTCCAAGAACGAATTCCTTAGACTTAGAAAGTTGAAACTGCTGGGTTGTTTGTTTGTTTTGCTTTTTTAATGTCTGGACAGGAAATTGGCACAGCACAGTGTCGCTTCTCCCGTATTCTATTGGCCAAGCGGCCATAGAGGCCTAGACTGACGGGGAAGATATAAACCCCTCTCTCAATGTGAAGAGTGGAGAAGAACCTTAGGGCCATATTTAGAAACTTCTGCAATGTGATTGTAACCATCTCAAGCCTGTTTCTGATAATATCGTAAAAGCACCTTCATCAAGTATTGTACACTGCTTTTGATTGCTTCAAGGGTAGAACCCTAACACCTTACCCACTACAAGTCCTGAAGCTGAGGGTGTAAGGATTTAATTTGATTATGTTGGGGCACAGAAAATGATACCTCAAAATACAATGCTTTGGCATTTTGAGTGTTAGAATTAAAGAAAATTAAAAGGTCTCAGAAATATGCCTCAGAACCAAAGTCTCTCTAAGACCTTCCCCTTCCCATCTCTGATCCTTTCTTTCCTGAAGCACATGGAGGAATTCTTTCTGAAAAAATAAATTTCTTATCTGACTAAAAAAAGCCTGTCTCTAAAAGAAATGCAATTGTCTTAAGACCCTTTTCCTAGTAATCTCATCAAATAATCAGGAAAGAATTACCACAGCGAAGAGAAGAAGCTAGGAGTCCTCACCATGACCAGACAGACTTTTCATCTCTTCCTCGAAGGGCTGCTCCAAGGGTTTACTTGAGGGCCTTTATTTTCACAATAAGATGACCTTTGTTCAAAGCAAAGTTCTGCCACTCACCTTCCTGCCACCTCCCCCAGACCTCAGGGAAATTTTGTGCCAGGTCATTATTCTTTGAGCTCATTCTTTTTTCCCTAAAATACATTTACTTCTATACCTCTCCTGTTCCCTTGTCCTAAGAAGAAGAACCGATAAACATCTGGACCTCATTGGGTTATTGGGTAATTATACTCATGTAATTCCTCCATGTTATGTTTGGTAAATATATTTTGCATATTTTTTCTCCTATTAATCTGCCTATTGCCACTTCATTTTTGGTGAGTCTTCATAGAACAAAGGGGAAGCTGTCTGTCTTTGACCCTACTGTTATCAGAAATAAATGTAATCTTATAAGTTGATGCCTCTGTATGGGCAAAGCTAGCCAAATTTTGTTTTTTCCTCCATCATACTCAGATGAATGTGAATTTCTATTTATTATTATGTATTTTCAATATAATGGATCAGAAGAACAATCTAGAAGTTGATAGACTTAAGGATATTAACTTTGCCCCATTTAATATTAAGCTATAAAAAGTGTTAAATTGAATTTAGCCTAAAGTTGCTTCCTTATATATTTTAAGATTGACATAAAGATTTCTTTGTAAAAGCAAACTATAGCCAATCTGAATGTACAAACAACCTGTACCCTACTCTTGTAGCAATTACCAAGTTTCAGGCAATTAAAGGAAGCCAACTGTTTAAACCAAGTTCAAATAAGGCAAACGCCAAGTTGTAACCAATCGAGCTGTTTCTGTATCTCATTTCCATTTATTTACATCATTTTTCTTTTTTTATCCATAAATCCTCTTTGACTCAGCATCAGTGGTACTGGAAAGGGGTCCTGATCCAGACCCCAAAAGAGGGTTATTGGATCTCATGCAAGAAAAAATTTGGAGGAGAATCCATAAAGTGAAAGCAAGTTTATTAAGAAATTAAAGGAATAAAAGATTGGCTGCTCCATAGGCAGAGCAGTAGCTTGGGCTGCTGGACTAAGGATATTTATACTTAGTTCTTGATTATATGTTAAACAAGGGGTAAATTACTCATGAGTTTTCTGGGAAAGGGGTAGGCAATTCCTGGAACTGTGGGTTCCTCCCCTTTTTAAACCATACTGTGTAGCTTCCTGACCTTGTCATGGCGTTTGTAAACTGTCATGGTGCTGGTGGGAGTGTCTTTTCGCATGCTGATGCATTATAATTAGCATATAATGGGCAGTAAGGATGACCAGAAGTGACTTTCCTTGCCATCATGGTTTTGGTGGGATTTACCTGGCTTCTTTAGTGCAATCTGTCTTATCAGCAAGGTCTTTATGATGTGTATTTTGTGCTGACCTCCTATCTCATCCTGTAACTTAGAATGCCTATCCTCCTGGAAGTGCAGCCCAGTAGGTCTCAGCCTTATTTCACCCAGGCCTTATTCAAGATGGTGTCATTCTGGTTCAAATGCTTATGACACCAGTGCCAGAGTAGCTTTGACTCTCTTCTGGTTGAAGGGCTACCCAATTTGCAAATCATTCTTTATGCAATTAAATTGTTAAATTAAATTTGTCTAAAGTGTTTCTTCTAACAAAAGTAACAGCTAGCTTTTTGATACTAAACTTGTAATGATAATTCATTGTTTTTGCTAAAATTTTAGGTTTGCATTTACATTCTATGCAAAGAAGCTGCTAATTTTAGACATCTTTGCTTTATCTTTTTCCAAAAAGTTTGTTAAACATTATTGTGCAGATGTCACTATATTAGAAATGTACACAACTATTTGGTGCCTTATTGATACCATGAGAGCCTTCTTTTGTTTATTTACTTACACTGAACAACCTAACCACTCATATAGAGACTAATATGAAGGAAGAAGTCATATATAGATTCCTTCATGATAGCAAAGCCCAGACAGTAAATTGAGCTCTACCCCAGATTAAATATAAATTTCTTCCCTTCATTAAAGTTCTCATAGAGATATCTTAATCAAAGTAAAATTTTTCTCCATTTTTGGAATGTCCTAAATAAAAATAATGCAAAGTACAGCATCTTTATTCTTTTTATTAAACCTTCTTAATCTCTACAGATTGAACTCAGCCATTACTCTACGAGGAAGAGAAAGAGTGACTCAAGTTTCCTTCTTAAACTACTACAGATTTGACAGTCAAATCTCCTTCAGGGATTCAGAAACTGAATAAAGTTAGTTGGAATTGCTGCATATGTTGCCAATTAAACCTTTTCATGTCCCAGTCCTCTAAAGTTACAAAGAATAAATAGGACAGCTAAGAGTATCATCTTATTTGAGACAATTTTTTAAAATATTTAGTAATATAGCATGTACCAACTCTCCTTGCTGCCAGTCATATATATTTTCCATGTATGTATGCCAGTCATAATTAATGTCCAAGTATGTGTGTACTGTGTGTGTGAGAGTGTATATGTCCGTGTGTATACATAATTTCCATATGGATATATAGATATATAGGTTTCCATATCATTTCCAAGTCGTAAGACTATGTCATTCGGTTTGGTGTGTACCAGTTGTGCACTCAAAAATGGTTGGGAGGAGATGCAACTAACCACTTTAAATTTGTTAGAGAATTCTGAAAGGATCAGGAGAGAGCTAGGAGACAGTAACCTTGGTACTGCATGTCAGTAATGGGCAGTGATTCATAAGAAGTTAATAGTAGCTCTCTAGGGCAAAGACTTTGAAGTTGGGTGAAACAAAAATAGGAAGTGCAGTCACTGAAAATGGCAGAGCAGGTAGTTCCAAGAACTTGTCCCATCGCAGAAACAACATGCACACACACACAAAAAGCAAAAATCAAAAACTGTCAATCAACTTTGTTGAAACTGAAAAATAGTCAAAGGTTCAAAGGTTTAGAGCAAGCAAGTGCTGAATCAAGAATCAGTGGATTTAGAAAATAAGTTTTGCAGCAGTTTAGCTTTCCTTTGTCCCTGCCCCCAACCCCAGCTTGGCAGTAGCCTTAAATACAGCGATCTGTGTTTCCAGTCCGTGGTTCCAGAGGGAGCAGAGCAGACCTTGTTCTCAAAGAATTGCATATTTGTTTTGACCAGTTTTGGGGCTACCGGAAAGACAGAAGCAAGAAGCTCGTCTTTGTTTCACCTAATTTGGAAGTCTCTCAGAGCAGAAAACTAGCTACTAGGCAGAGGGCATCACTCAAAAATAGTGAAAGGGAAATGAACAATTTGCTGCTGCCTGGGGCAAATGGTTACTACGGAGCCAAATGAGATATGCTGAAAACGTGGGATGAGGATGAGAGACTCTTAGAATTAGGGAGTTATAAAGCACTCTTCTGTACTAAAAATTTAGTAAACCACAGAAAGCCTAGGAAAGCATACATGCTTAGAAAAGACCTAGGCTTTCATTTGTGGCAGATCTTTAGGCTCAATGCAAGCAGGAAGCAAAGGCTAAGACAGATATGTAGAGGCCCTGGCTGAAAGCTGAAAACGTATCCCAACACTGTTTTTTAAATCATCATTATTATTATTGTCTCCGATGTTCAAAGAAATCTCTGAGCAAACACTATTTGTCCACAAGCTAAAGAAACAGATTTTAGAGACCGTATGTGAGGAATACGGTCATTTTAACAGTTATAAAAATAACTAAACAAGCAAACAACTACATCCCAGGCCAAGGGTAAAAACAACAACAAAACACTGAACAAGGGGATCATTTTGATTTCCAGAGTTAGCACATTACACTGTTTAGAAAGTCCTCTTTCTTAACAAGAACAACAAAATGCAAAGTGTTTGAAGAAACAAGATAAAATGATCCTTTCACAGGATAAATTAATAGAAAACGTCCCTGCAGAAGCAGACTTTGGGCTTACTAGATAAAGACTTCAAATCAACTGTTTCCTTAAAAAAGTTAAACAAAAAAAATGCCTGCTCTTCAAAAGTTACACATAGACTTACCACATGACCCATCACTTCTATGTATCACTCCTATGAATCACTCCTATGTATCAACCCAAAAGAATCAAAAACAGGTATTCAAAGAAGTACTTGTACAAAGATATTTATGGCAGCATTATTTACAATAGCAAAATAGTGGAAGTAACTCATGTCCATCATTAGAAGAATAATAATTTGGCATATACATACAATGAAATTCAACTACAAAAAGGAATGAAGTTCTGATACTTGATACAGCATGGGTGAACAATGAAAATATGCTAACAAAATAAGTAAAAAAGGTCACTTGTATGTGAACCCCCAAAATTTAAGACAGGTCTCAGTTAATTTACACACTTTATTTTGCCAAGGCTGAAGACGTGCGCCCATGACATAGCCTCAGGAGGTCCTGATGACATGTGCCCAAGGTGGTCAGAACACAGTTTGATTTTATACATTTTAGGGAGACATGAGACATCAATTAAGATGGGACAACTTGAAGCAAAGGCTGGAAGACTTGAAGTAGGGAGGAGGCTTCCAGGTGTAGATAAGAGAAAAATGGTTGCCTTCTTTTGAGTTTCTGATTATCCACTGCAAAGGAGGCAATCAGATATGCATTGATCTCAGTGAGCAGAGGGGTGACTTTGAATAGAACGGGAGGCAGGTTTGCCCTAAGCAGTTCCCAGCTTTACTTTTCCTTTTAACTTAGTGATTTTGGGGCCCCAAGATTTATTTTCCTTTCACAATTCCTTTGACATGAGGTATCCAGAGTAATTAATCTTTAGACAGATTGGTAGTCCTCAGAGCTTGAGTGAAGAGGAAGAAAGTGGGAATGAGTGCTTAATAAGTAGATTTTCTTTTTAGGTGATAAAAACGTTTTTGGAGTATTAAAAGTGCTAGTTGCACACCATTCTGAAAATAATAAGTGCCACTAAATTGTGTTCTTTCATAGGTTTTGTTATATTAATTTCACTTTAGTGACAGAAATATTTAAGAAAAAAGTGATTGGGAGATTTCTGCTACCAAAGAAGAGTACTGTAGGAAGATGAAGGCCAATATTTGTTTCAAGAACCAGAAAACTATTTCACATAAATGACAAGAATTGTGGGTTTTTTTGTGGTATCCAAGATCTGTAGAAATGATCATGACTTGTTGAACTAAAATTAAAAAGAAAAAGAAACTTTCTGGATTGAGCTAATTGTTATTGGCTAGTTTTTCCAACCTGGGGACGCTGGTCACACCTGGGCAGGAGCTAAAGGTCTAGCTTAGTTGAGGCAGAGGTCCGTTGCCAGGGGACAGATGCCAGCAAAGCTCTAAGTGTTAGAGGAGGGCTGGAGAAAAAAACTAAAATCTCAAGGGCTTTCAAGCATACTACCAAGATTATCAGTGGTAGTTTCCTGAGTTCTGGAGCACAGAGAAGACTTAAGAGTGGCCAATCTTTCAAACTGGCAGAATAAAATCTCCAGTAGTCATTAGATGCCCAGAAAACAAAGACATGCTAAGAGTGGTGCTTCCAACGTATTCACTGTTGTATCCCTTGTAAAATATTTGCTGGAATTTGCAGCAGTGTGTGGTGACAAGTGGAGAAATGGCCTGGGAATATCACAGGGTATCACTGAATCTTCCTTCATGGCTGAGGTGAGGGTGCCTTCATACTCACAGTCAAAAGTCTAGGTGGGTACCACTCTAGAAAGAACAGCAAACCAGAAAATTCTTACTAAGCCTGCAATCCATTCCAATCCAGCTCCATATTTGATGGGATTGGAATGATAACTAGATTGTATTGCCTAACAGTTAAGGTCCTAGACATTGTAGTGTGAACAATAGGGGGAGAAAAACATAAGAATTGGAAAAGAAGGGTAAAAACTGTTATTAATCACAGAGTATGTGATGGTACACTATGTAAAATTCAAAATAATTTAAAGACAAATGTTAGAATCCGAAAGTGAATTTTCTAGGGTTGCTGGCGTAATGACCATATGACAAAATGCACATTTCTAAGTAAAGAATGGCTGAAATATTAAAACAAAAATTAGAAAATATTCTTAAGTGGATTATAGTGAAAATAATGTACTGAAATAAATGGCATAAAGCTAAAGAAGTGCTTATGGAAAAATTCATGGCCATAAAAGCTATATATTTTCAAAAAACATAGGCTAAAATTAAATTACTTAAGATTTCACCATAAGAAACTAAGCAAAAAACAGCAAAACATGTTTATAGAAAGTAGAAGAAAATAAATAATAAAGATAAGAACAGACCAATTAAATTGAATACAAATTGAAAAGATATATTTATAGCAGCATCAAAAATATAACATGCTGAGAAATAAATCCAAGAAAACATATTTAGGGCTCTATCTTGAGAACTATAAAACTCAACAAATATAAGAATACTTAAAGAAATTGAGTATATATCACACAAATAGATGGAAAGACTTGATATTTTAAAGATGGAAATGATCTATAAATTAGAGTACAGTATATGCAATCATTATCAAAATGCCAGAAATATA
Source organism: Homo sapiens (assembly GCF_000001405.40). Classification (NCBI taxonomy): domain Eukaryota; kingdom Metazoa; phylum Chordata; class Mammalia; order Primates; family Hominidae; genus Homo; species Homo sapiens. Next base: position 83,829 of record NW_025791779.1, read on the forward strand.
CAGTTTGTATGTCTGTGTGTAAATTGATGAGCTGATTCCTAAATTTGTATGGTGTTTTAGAAGGCAAACATTTTCATGGCAGCCTCAAAGTAGAACAAAGCAGAAAGACTCACAATAACAAATATCAAACTGAGTAATGGAAAAGAATTGAAAGTCTATAAATAGATCAATATACATGTGTTTACCTGATTTATCAAAAAGACAACACTCTGTTACAGTGGGGAAAAGCCAATCTTTTTGGTACATTGTGTTAGGTATATTGGCTATGAATGTGGACAAACACATTTCTGATTGTCTAGCAGTTCTACTCCTGAGTGAATGCTGAATAGAAATGGAAGCATATTTATACATACACACAGCACATGCACACCCACACATACACACAACATTGTCTAAATGTATTTATCGCAGCTTCATTCATGATAAACAAAGAAAAGAAAGCTACTCAAATGCTTATTTATAGCATGTAGATAGAGCTACATTTATAGAATCTGACACTAAGCATTAATGAAAATAATGTAAAACCACATGGAGAATGAATCTTATAAAAACAATATTGAGAGGAAAAACACCCAGACAGAAGACTACTGACCCTCTGATTTCATTCACAGAAAGGACAAAGGCAGGCAAAATCAATCTGGGCTGTTAGAGGTCAGGAAAATCGTTACCCCTGGAAGGTAGAATGTGGGAAAGGGCACAAGGTGAACCAACTGTTGTGGGTTATGTTCTATTTCTTGATCTCAATGCTAGTTTCCCAGGTGTGCTCAGTGTGTTAAAATTCACTGGTCTGTTCATTGAGGATATATGCACTTTTTTGTATGTATATTATACTTCCGTAAAAGGTTATACAAATAAAAATGATTGGTCAATTTTCCTGCAAGTAGATTTCTCGATACTTTCAAATTTTCCTTCTGTATGTGCAGAAACCCAATTGGAGAAAAACACATATTATTTTTTTACTAAAAGTTCTCAAATGGAGTGATTTTGTACCAAAGGGAACATATGGTCATGTTTAAGTCAGTTTTTGATTGTCTCTACTAGAGGGGTATGAGGGAGGGAAATATTGGTAACTCTTGAGTAGAGGCCAGGAATGTGGTTCAGCATCCTGAAATGCACAGAACAACCCCCACAAAAAAAGAATTATTTGACCCAGAATGTCAATACACAAAGGTTGAGTAACCTTGACTTAAATGAGATGGACTTTACTAAATGCATGTTAAGTAAAGCAATGAAGTTTTCTTTAACTCTATTCTATTGCTGATGGTAATTCCCAGGATGCTATCTTTTAAGACACCCTGTATGTCACATGCTTTTTGCCATATGCTTCTTGACAAAATCTTGCTTCTCCTCAGCTTTTAATTCCCTGATTATTAATTAACCTTCACGACAGCAAGTTAATTGCAAATATGCACTAATACTATATTTTTTCCTTCTTCTTCTTACCCAACTTTATCTGCAGAAGATATTCTTTCCTTAGGCTGAAAAGAAAGCCAAATTAAGAAGGAAAACAAGTAAAATTTTGGTTAAGATAAGATAAATAGACATGTAGGCTATTTTTAGCTTCCAACCACCTGGATGACCAAAATCTCTTAAAACTCTTCTCAGTTCTACTCTCCTAGTTCCATCTCCATGAGAGAAAAAACAAAAACAAACAAACAAAAAACTTAAAAGTTTCAGGCAAGATTTTCCTGAATCTAGCAAAATTTTTTCTTTTTGAAGTTTGTGAGAAGTATTTTTGTATTAAAAATTTAAATTATTTGAGGACATTTCCAGGAAAAATGTCTAAATATCAGTCAAAACTAGGCACTTCCCCGCTCAGTTTTAAGTATTAAGAAAGCTCTTCTAGTCACAAAACTATCTATCTTTTTAATTTCACCTATCACAGTCTCGGATTCTCCTCACTCAGCCTACTAAGGCTATGCAGTAGATTACAATAGATTACAAGTTGTGGTGATTTTTAGTGCTATTTGATGTCAATTAACTTAAAAGACCAGAGATTCTTACAAATCACTTTCCTTTTTACCACGTCATAAATTCCTGGAGATGATTTTATGAAAGAAAGTATAATCCAGTATGAATAAAAGTACACATTTATTACTTGTTATGAAAATATTCTAAACTACAATTATAAACTCACTTGTATGCTGTTTGGTTTGGAGAATAAGCAGAAGATTTATGAGACACACAACATCAGCAAAGGGATTATGGAGAGAGGAAGAGCAAATGTTCATTCCCCCCTTAGGTTGTCCACCAAACTACCTGGAACCAGGAATGCAGTGACATGAGTGACATATATATGAGAAGTGATTTCAATCACTTCTCAAGCTGGCACAGGCCATTGTTCTACATAGTAACCATTTTCTATAATTTTTCTGATGCAGTTAATTTTTGATGTTTTTCTAATAGGATTGTGGTAAATAGTTTGCAAAACCACTTGCAATTGGTAATTTCCAGGCTGTGGGGAGAGATGTGGTACTTACACCTATGAGGCATAGCTTAGATAGAGAAGGGCCTCCGAAATCAGTTCTCACTGGACATGGAAGAGCCTGTTGGGAAACATGGGGCAGCCACTGGGGCTGACTAAAGTACTGGGAGCCTGCTTCCCTGGAAGATGCAACTGACATGGTGATGGACCTGGCAGGTGGGGAAGGCACTTGAGATAAAGGAAAAGCACTGGTGTGACCACCAGATCTCCCAGCACAACCTCCAACAAAATTTGCAGCTTGACAGTCTGTGGAAACATCTTACTGAATTAGATCTTGAGTTGTAGGATTCTTTTCAGAGGTTCACAACCAATTTCGAGCACTTCCAGGACACTGAGTAATTGATTTAAAAAGCTGAGGTTCTGTGGCATATAAGTGGACCACTCACAAAGTTATACCTACAATTAGATGTCCTAGCAAGGTAGCTGGAAGAAAGATAAGCAAACCTTGTTGACTGGCAACAATACTTCACAGCGAAATGTTCTTAGTCTTTCTCAAACCATTCAATTCCTCCAAGGGAGCACTAATCATCTGCAGAGCCAGCTGGAGGAATTGAAGGCATTTGACATTACCACAAGAAACCAGAAGAAACATTGCTAGTAGAAACTGGTGCACAACTACTCAGATCTATGCCACGTATCTGCCTATTCATATTTCTGCCCTATTCATATTTCTCTTTATAAATAATGAGAAAACATCTCTGTAAATAAGATTAGTTGCAGAGGTCACTGGGAATTGTTGAGAAGTTTCAGTGAAAAACTTGGAAGAAAATTACAGCCAGAAAAAGTCAAAAGGTTTTTTTGGTGTCAAGACTTGTTTAGTCTACTGGTATGACATGACCAAAGTCAGGAAGATTGCTGATTTTGCTCTCTGAGAGAAGAATTACCTCTGGGTTTATTTTCTGTTCATGGTGCCTCACAAGGAACAACTCTGTGTCACAAAAGTAGGCAGTGGCGTGAATGGTAATGACAATTGGACAGGTGATGTCCTGGACTTTGGGTAATATTCTCTTCTTATTGTATGAGGTCACAGAGAAGAATACTGCTATGCTCACAAAGTGATACTGAATTCCCTTATCTTTGTAAGCAGGCAAGCTGTTTGGGAATTTTTCTTCATTTCGCTATTAATTGCCTTTTGCTCTGAGAAGAAGCCATTAGATAGGATATTTTTACTCCTTATTCTTTTAGTATTTATGAAAGGCAGAGACAACATTTTTCCATTCTCACCATTAACAGGCTGATTTTCTGGTCCCAGGTGATAACAAACACCTGATTAATTACCACCTTCATCAGTATAAACTGCATTTGCCATGTAAGAATGAAGATTTATTCATTGAGTCATGCCCTGCCTTGAAACCACAGCTAGTGCCATATTTATTTACAATAATCACTCTACTCAGTCCCCTGTGTGACTTTCCTTTAGTTATAAGAAAAAGTAAATATTTATTAAAAAATATGTAAAAATATATCACTTATTCTGAGAATGAAAAGTCATTCAGGACCTATTTTGTTAGTAGAAAAGTAATTACGTGTTTTGCCATTAAGAGTAATGACAAACCCACAATAACTTTTGCATCAACCTAATAAACCAACTTGAGGACCTACCTGATTCTTCCTTCTCTCTCTTTCACTAAGCAGTTCTGTTTCTCTAGATGACTTTACTATCGTATTCACTCATTTAGAACAAGCAATTCGTCTTACTTTCTAGTTAAAGAAAAAGTTTATCTCATCAGCTGAGCTAATTACCATGATCCTTCCCAAACAGACCAATTATTCCAGACCTTGTGGTTTTCTAGGCCCCATTGTTTATCTTGGTCTAGTCAGTAACCAAGCCTGATCTGCTTCTTGAGACCTTGGCATTTGGGGAAAGAACCTTTTCTCAGAAAACTTTAGATATGGTAAACTCCACCTGTGATATGTTCAGTCAGCTAGGACACAAAGAAGCATCCTGTGTCCAAATGTAGCTGAAGATCTGTGTGTGTGTGACACAAATATCCACAGCTGAATGAATTTTTTAAAGTGCAATTCACCAACCAAGGTCTAAGTGTGAAATTAGCATACATTTATATCAATGAATTTTAATAAAAGTGCTTGTATACAAGAGATGTAAGCTGGTAACTTCCTTCATAAGCTTAATTATTCTATAATTACTTTGGTGGGAAAGTAAAGTATTTTCTCTGTGTTGTAAAAGAGGATTCTCACTTCCTCAGGTTTCAGCTTTTTCTAGGGAGCCTTTATTATATAATTTGAGATCGGGCTATAGCTATGACATACTCATTCTAAGTATTGGCATCCAAAAAGGAAGAGAAAGGCAAATATTAGTTATTTCTTAAGAAAGATTCCTGGAAGCTGCCATAGGACACCTATATTATATCCTACTGAGTGAAACTGGGACATTTGGGGACACTTAGCTTCAAGAAAGGCTGGGAAATGTAATATTTATTCTGAGTGATCTGATGACAACCTGAAACTCTAGATTTTTGTAAAGTTAGGAAAAGGCTATAAAGAATATTGAGGGATAATGATCACTCCATCACAAGAGTCAATGTTACATGAATAGTTACCATTAATAATATCTGTAGTAGTAAAAGTATAAATAACAGTGACATTAATTTTATAATTTTCCTCAAAAATATAGGTGAATGAAAGTATATTTTAGAAACTGAAAGTTGATGAAATTGTGAGAGGCTTACCAGGCTTGTGGCTTTTGCACTTGGAAATTCCTTTTTTTTTTTTTCTTTTGGCAACTCTACAGGATGGACCCCATTAAAGAAAATTTCTCTGTGTTTACACAAAAATTCTACAAAAATGATGGTCTTTTATGTCGGTCCTTGTACATTGATATTGCTTTTATTAGTCTGTTCTGCTAAAAAAGAACTACCTGAGACTGCTTAATTTATAAAGAAAAGAGGTTTCATTGACTTACTGTTCTGTAAGGATCTGCTTTTGGGGATCTCTCAGGAAACTTACAATCATGGCGGATGGTGAAGGGGAAGCAAGCACATACCCACATAGCTGTCAGTTGAGAGAGAGAGAGAGTGAAAAGGGAGATGCTAAACATTTTCAAACAACCAGATCTCCTGAGACCTCTATCACGAGATCGCTGGAGAGGTATGGTGTTAAACCATTAGAAACCACCCCTATGATTCAATCACCTCCTCCCAGGCCCCACCTCCAACAATGGGGATTTCAATTCAACATGAAACTTAGGTGGGGACACAGAGCCAAACCATATCACTGCTGAACACAAATTAATGACCATACCCAACCTCCCAGTAGCTGTGCTGAAGTTCAAGGAACAAGTAAAATTTGAAAATGGTATTCTACTGGTATGACTTTACTCCTCATAGCAACATCTTCTACAGATTATTCTGATTTCAGTAATTTATAAGGTATTTCAATACTGTTAATCACGCTTAAAAAATAGATTTCTCCAAAAAGAACACATTCTTTAGAGCAGTGCATTTTTTGAGACTACTGGAAAAGGTTGTGTTTATGTACTCGCATCAGGGTACAAAAATGTAACAAATCCTATAGAATAAAATAATCATCTACACCTATTATTTGTTATATTTCTTAGCTTAATTAAAAAATGAGTACTAGTCAGAAGTAGCCTGTATTTATTCAGTGATTTATCTAAAATTAAGTTTATTGTCATTATAGTTACAGTTTCATTAACAGGAAGAAAAATCTTATCCTCTGTTCTTTGTGTGAGGAAAGAATACGTTTAACGTAATTGTCTTGGGTAGAGGAGGCAGTCAGTTGGGAGTGTTTAGCCGCATTATACATGATGCCTCTATGAATTATTTTAAGGATGAATTAGAACACTGGCATGGAAAATATAGTCATCAATAAAAGTTTTCAAAGCTCATGATTGATTTTCTCTCTTTTTGTGTATATGTTTATTGTGTGAAAATAATAGCCTATAACAATTTTAATATTTTTTCTGGCCAAATTATAGACATGGAGTGGTTTTGATTGGTGTAGGGTGTCAGGAACAATTTTGGAGAAATTTGAGCTAAAATACTGAAATAGTGGAAATATAAATTAAATAATGGCCAAGGAGACTATTCAAGAAAAACATGTATAGAGATTGCTTTTCTCATTTGCCTTTGGTTTATTGGTTTGTGTCTTAGTTTATGAAGTGGTGTTATTTGTATAGGTGTTTTTCTGCATGCATGCATGCATGCATGCTTGGTGGGAGTTTGTGTTTAAATAGAAAAATATATCTGCAGATTTTGAACTGAACACTTAAGAATGAATGAAAATCCTGTGTCTACTTTCTTTGGAATGGGATGCAACATTTGAATAGTTGCCACAGAGGGTCAAGGTCAAGGAGCCAGTTTCATAGGGATTTAATTATTTGTTTAGTTAAACAATTTCAAAAGGATCTTGTAAGGAAAAATATTAAGGGATTTTAAGGTACATTTGAAAGAACAAATATGTTGGGGCGTCTCTCTAACTGCCATTTTCTTACCTAAAATGTGTGAAAACATTTTCCTTATCAATGTATCAGTTGATAGACATTTGGGTTGTTGTCACTTTGGCTATTGTGAATAATGCTGTAGCATGTCTACAATAGTCAAACTCATCAAAACAGAAAATAGAATTTTAGCTTCTGGGGCTGAGAGGAGAGAAAGAATGGGAGTTGTTATAGTGGACATAGAGTTTCAGTTTTGCAAGAGGGAAAAGTTCTAGAGCTCTTTTGCACGACAATGTTAATATAGTTACCATTACTGAACTGTACACTCAAAAATAGTTCAGAAGGTAAAGTTTATGTTATGTGGTCTTTGTCATGATTTTTCAAACAGTAAAAAATTATTTCATGCTTCATATATGTTGAAAATCAAAATTTGAAGAGCATTCTTAAACAGTTGAGATTAAGATTAATGCTATTACTATGACAATCTAATTTCAGACACAGCAATTCCCTCTTTAGTTGCTTGAATAAGAAAAAGATCTGACACTGATGTACTGTTGAGGCAGGGGAGGATGAAGTAGAACTCAGCAGTTTGAATAGATTTTTCATGTTTTGAGTGAAAGGCTCCAATTTGTTCTTTAATCTTCGTAGTAACATACTGTCATCTTAATGAAAATCTGATCTCCATATTGATGCATTGTTCAGTAACTGTTTCTTCAGTTGGAGACTTATATTGAGTGGAGAGAAATGTAAGTTAAAAAAAATCACAAGAGTACATACATCTTATTAATATTTTTAGTTAAAGTGCATGTGTTTGTGTGTGTGTGTGTGTGTGTTTATATTTTAATTTCCAACCCCTACTAATTTGAACCTCTATCTAGAGGAATAGTGATCTCTCTGGGTTTGAGATTTTGAGTGCATATATTTTGAAGAGCATCTTTTAAGACAGATTAACTGAATGAGCTAATCCAGTTAGAACAGTTTGTATTGGTTTTGTAGTGTCCTCCCATATTAAAGTAATGCCAAATGACATGACAAGGACTATGACCTTCCTCAGAGACTGGAGTTAATCATTTGTAATTCATTGAGCTGTAGAAACAATCACATAAGAGATTGCATAATATGTACATTGGGAAAAAAGTAGGGAAACAGGATAACATCATAAGTTATGGAAATAACATAAATTGTTACTAAATATTTTCCATATTAAGCATTTGATGAAGCACAGCGAAAAATTAGGCACTTAATAAAAGCATTGCTAACAGTGGCATGGCAATTATGTGTTCACATTAACTTTCAAACACTTTAGACCTATTATAAATTAGTTTTTGATTTGACCTATATTTAAAGTGTAAAACATATTTCGATTAAAGACAAATTGTATAAAATTTAATGTAATTATTTACTTCTAAGAACATCAGGTGACAAGACGTGACTGAGATTATTTTATTCTTATTGCAGGGGATGGGAAGCATGAGAGGATATCTACCAAATCAATTAAATCTGGTTTTTGGCAAATAGCAGGATGCAGACTGGGTAGAATTTGAGCAAAATGTAATGTTACTTTCTAGTAGATTATTCCTCATGATCCAGTATTCAATAACTTTTGTGATTTTTTTTTTTCTCGCTCTGTCACCCAGGCTGCAGTGCGGTGGCGCGATCTCGGTTCACTGCAAGCTCCGCCTACCGAGTTCATGCCATTCTCCTGCCTCAGCCTCCCGAGTAGCTGCGACTACAGGGGCCCGCCACGAAGCCCAGCTAATTTTTTTTTGTATTCTTAGTAGGAACGGGGTTTCACCGTGTTAGCCAGGATGGTCTTGATCTCCTGACCTCGTGATCCTGCCGTCTCGGCCTCCCGAAGTGCTGGGATTACAGGCGTGAGCCACCGCGCCTGGCCCGATTTGTTTGAGAGACATAAACAAAATTTTGTTATGACTAAGATCTCTGTCTGTTTACAGAGATCTGGACAGTATCAAGAGGACTCACAAGAACGTTGAAATATCCAGGGCATATAAAAAATGTGAAGCTTTTTATACCACCCTTAGGCCTGCAGAGGCAGGAAGCAAACATCTTGTTACTAGATCGTGAAGTAAGGTAAGTAATGATATAGATCCTGAGGTGGTCTATGAAGATGGGAGAATTGGAGAGGAGATGGTTCTAATAGTTCTTGCCTTTGTCTCTGATCTGTAACTCTGATTGACTGAACCCAAGACGAAGCCAGAGATCAAGCACATTTGGGCTGATGCTCTCTGGCGGAGTCAAGGTATCTTTCGAGGTAGAGCAGAGTAGAGAAAGTTGAACATAACCTAGAGAAAGCAATTGAAAATTAACTCCCAAATACAATGCTACATTATGTTCTTCTAGAATATAAAGACAACATGTTACATAATGACATTTTTCATCAATATATCTCATTGAAACAGAATGTCTAATTAAGATGAGAACATATGCTTTTAAATTCACTTAGAGATCATTCTGAGTAAGTACAGCATTTTGCAGCTTCATTACTATAGTGACTAACAAATGAAAATTGAAGATTTTAAGAGGCAAGAAAATAAATGATCAACATTATAAGTGTTACATTTAAACAACCTGTGGCAGCACTATAGTGCTGGAGTGGTCAATAAACTGTATGAAGTTTAAGATTCAAATACTGTTTGTGTAAGAAAGGGAAGGCTGTATGCTTTTATTATCAATGTATGTGTGGCAGGAAGAGTAAAAGGTAATATTTGAAAAAAATAATTTTGAAACTATATCCCAAATTTCATATTATAGAATTTATATATCTCTAAGATTTTCTTAATAACTGGAGAGTGGCTGGGCACGGTGGCTCACACCTGTAATCCCAGCACTCTGGGAGGTCGAGGCAGGGGATCACCTCAGGTCATGAGTTCAAGACCAGCCTGACCAACATGGAGAAAACCCATCTCTACTAAAAATACAAAATTAGCGGGGCATGGTGGTGCATGCCTGTAATCCCAGCTACTCGGGAGGCTGTGGCAAGAGAATTGCTTGAACCCGGGAGGCGGAGTTTGTGGTGAGCTGAGATCGCGCCATTGCACTCCAGCCTGGGCAACAAGAGTGAAATACCATCTCAAAAAAATAAATAAAATAAAAATATATAAATAAATAACTGGAAAGTGTTTGATTTTTAACATTTAAACCCAATTAAATTTCCAATTTAGAAGCCTGAGAGTTGTAAAAAAGCATAGTTATTAAAATAATTACAGAAAATTGAGCATAATATTTTTTATTTTCCAATCCCCTAAAACTAATAATTGATTTTTCTCAAATACTTGGCTTTACATTATTAAAATAAATTATATTGAATTGCCTTGACACATAGATAAATAAATTATAATGTTTCTAAATTATGTTACTTTCTTATAAAGTATTCCTGATAAAATACCTAATAACTTTCATGATTTATTTGAGATATAAACAAAATTTTGTTATGACTAAGATCAGAAGAAAAGTAAAGATTCTTATAGTTGACCCAAATAATTGCATAAATTACTAAAAAAAGCATTAAAAGCTGAAGTAACAATTCATGCTAAACTCCAATCACTTTTTGACTGTGATAAAAGTGATTGTTAACATCTGTACAGTTCATATAAAAGACATCAATACTTGTAGCCAACGATTAAAGGTATTGAAGTGATAAGAAAAGGACTATAGATCATGCTGCTATAAAGACACATGCACACGTATGTTTACTGCAGCACTCTTCACAATAGCAAAGAATTGGAACCAACCCAAATGTCCAACAATGATAGACTGGATTAAGAAAATGTGGCACATATACACCATGGAATACTATGCAGCCATAAAAAATGATGAGTTCATGTCCTTTGTAGGGACATGGATGAAATTGGAAATCATCATTCTCAGTAAACTATTGCAAGGACAAAAAACCAAACACCACATGTTCTCACTCATAGGTGGGAATTGAACAATGAGAACACACGGACACAGGAAGGGGAACATCACACTCTGGGGACTGTTGTGGAATGGAGGGAGAGGGGAGGGGGGAGGGGGAAGGGATGACGACTTAATGGGTGCAGCACACCAGCATGGCACATGTATACATATGTAACTAACCTACACATTGTGCACATGTACCCTAAAACTTAAAGTATAATAATAATAAAATTTTTAAAAAAAGAAATTAAACTCCTCATCTCTTTTACCTGTAATATCTAGAGTTGTTTTCAGTTAAAATATGTCATCCAGGGATAAAGCTAATTATAGCCTTTTTATGCATGCTTTTGGCATCACTGTTATTGTCAGTTTTTTTACTTATATGTACAATATTTATTGATATACAAATATTCTTTATTTGCAAATTAAATACAAAAAGTAACTTTAAATGCATCCTGCACCTCCCTCCCATGGCACTAAATTGCTCAAGCAATAATTAGTAAAATACATAGTAGCACTTTTTTAAAGTGGGAATATAAAAAAATTTCTAACTTGAAAGAAGTAGAAAAAGGGCAGAAAGCATTCACCAGGTTAGGAAAAACACCAAGAAAAATAAAAATAACGTGAAGAAGTAGCAAATATTAATCCCTGGAAAAAATAAGCATGTGGAAATTATACAAAAATATCAGTAATTGCAATGAAAATAAAGGAATATATGTTGCCTATTAAAATGGTAGATATGTTTGACAAATAAATACATCCTATTAGCAGATGTCAGAGTTGGGATCCAAACCCATCCCACTGGTTCCCAGAGCTGGAGCTTGTCACACTACAGCACCCTGATTGGACAGTCTCCACACTCTGGTCAACTCATCAGAGAGCTGAAAAAAGAAGGCACAGTATCACTTTGTTTGACTTCAGCTAGGAATGGACACATCAGAAGACTAACATTTTGTGTCACTCTCAGCATGTCTACAGATAAGAACAAAAAGTGTCATCAGAATTTATTTTGAGTTTGCAGATAAATTTTAGCATGTAGAATTTTGCAAATACAAAATCTGTGAATACATATGGATCAACAGAGTTTCATATTTAACAAAGAAACAGTAATTAAAAAGTGGAAACCATGAATGTATGTGCACCTAACTCCAGAGGCAAAATATGAAATTAGAAAAACACAGCAAAATACTAGGAGTTGCCAGGTGTGGTGGCTCACACCTTGTAATCCAGCACTTTGGGAGGCCAAGGCAGGAAGATCATTTGAGATCAGGAGTTCAAGACCAGCCTGGCCAACATGGTGAAACCTAATCTCTACTAAAAATACAAAAAAATAGCCAGGTGAGGTGACAGCTGCTAGTAATCCCAACTACTCAGGAGGGAGTAGAATTGTTTGAACCCGGGAGGCAGATGTTGCAGTGAGCCAAGATCTCACTACTGTACTCCAGCCTGGGCAACACAGCAAGACTCAAAAACAAACAAACAAACAAACAAAAAACCAGAAGGTTACAAATTTGCAGATATGTTGAAAAAACTCTTATTTAAAAGAAAGTTAGCAGTTAGGCAGTTATGAAATCATTAGGAATGCAGAAAATTTCTATGCACCAGATTAAAACATTGAGCTAATACTTCATAGATAATTTTAATTTACATACACTGGAGACTATCCCAAAATATACATTTTTTTAAAAAAGACCAATTTTAAAGCAACATAATGAAACCACCTTTGCAAATATTATGACAGTGAAAGAGTCTAGCATGGCTTACTCCATATCGCTTCTAGCCTCGCAAGATGGCTTTCCTCTCACATTCCTGGGCATTAAGCCAAGCTAACCATGGCAGGAATTTAGATTATAGTTTCCCTTTGAAGCAAGGATGATAGTAGGCCCTCCCTAAACTGACTCACTCCTTGTTCAGGGACTGAAACTGCCTTTGTAAGACTAATGAAAGGCCACATGTTAGGATTACTGGGCAGGTAGAGCAGAATGCATGCACAGCTTGCCTTTACATAATTGCTTACCACACCATAGGTCAAAAACTTTGTAACTTCCCCACTTGTTCCTATGGATAATATCACCATTGTGAAACCCAAGGTTGGTATTTTGCAATTTTTTTTGAACTGATTACACACTGACTCTGCCTGGACCTGTGATTTATGACTCAATCCTGGACCTGGGATTCATAATTCAATCAATCTCCTGACCTTCACCCACAGTCTGATTCAGGGCATAAGCACTGTTTTCCACACCCTTATGATTTCATCCTCAACCAATCAGTAGCACCCATTCCCTAGCCCCTTGTCTGACAAATTATCCATTAAAAAACCTAACCTCTGAATTCTTGGGGAGGCTAATTTGAATAACAAACTCTGTCTTTCACTTGGCTAGTGCTGTGTTAATTAAACTCTCTTTGCTGCAAAAACCTGCTGTTCTCAGTGCATTAGCTTTTCTGGGCAGTGGGCAAGATAAACCAGTTGGGCTATTACAATAACATAAAGTAAATGGTATTTTTTGTATAATTTAAGATAATTACAAGTAATATTATTATCTATCATTTGTTCATATATAAAGCTGTTGTGCATATCTATCAAATTTGTGATAGTGGTTGTCTCAGTGTGATTGAAGGCAAATGCTACTAGAAATAGGTGGTCAAAAAGTGTATCAACTTTAACATCAATATTCTCTTTCATTAAACAAATGAAACTAACAGAAGTTTTATTAAAAATATTTAAAAGAAAACCCTATTACCTCTCTTGTAAGCCCAATGATTCCTGCCCTAGTGTAATCCCGTTCCCTGGCAAGTAGGAGAGACCTGAGTATTATAATTGACTAAAATTAGTCAAGTAGAATACTTAACTAATTAAGGATATTAATTCCATCTGCAAAATCTCTTTACATATAAGATAAAAAATAGTGGAATTGATATCCCATTATATTCTCAGGTCTCTCCTACTTCCCCCCAAAAAGGAATATCATCCAGAGTAGATATCACCTCCTAATGAGTTGAATCCTTTAAAGTGTAGAGCCTGGAAGGAACAGAAGTGCTCTTCTGCTGGTATTAAAGAAACAAGTCATCAGTTTCTAACCAAGGAACTGAGTACTGCCAACAACCTTGTGAACTTAAAAGAGTATCTTGAGCCTAAGATAAAACCTCAGCCCCAGCTGACACCCTGAATACATCCTTGTGAGATCCTAAGCACAGGACTATGGAACTTGCAAGATAGTAAATGTGACGTGCATCCATGTAAAGAGACCACCAAACAGGCTTTGTGTGAGCAACAAGGCTCTTTATTTCACGTGGGTGCAGGTGGGCTGAGTCCGAAAAAGGGGTCAGTAAAGGGTGCTGGGACTATCATTAGTTCTTACAGGTTTGGGATAGACATACAAAGTACAATCTCAAGGGCAGGGAGAATATTGCAAAATACCGTCTTAAGGGTGGGGGAGAATAGGAGAATATTATTACAAAGTACCTTCTTAATGGGGCTGGGGGAGAATATTACAAAGTACCTTCTTAAGGCAGGGGAGAATATATTGTATCAGTTAGGGTGGGGCAGGAACAAATCGCATTGGTGGAATGTCATCAGTTAAGGGTATTTTCACTTCTTTTGTGGATCTTCAGTTGCTTCAGGCCATCTGGATGTATACATGCAGGTCACAAGGGATATGATGGCTTAGCTTGGGCTCAGAGGCCTGACAGTAAATACATGTTGCTTTCAGCTCTTAAGTTTGTGGTGATTTGTGAAGCATCAAGACAGCACTAATGCAACTACTAATGTACCAATGTCTTTCAGTGGAGAAATCCCCCTGGAATGTTGTGATACAGTTTGCTTTTAATATGTTACATGGCCTTAGGCAAAAGATTTAACTTCTCTAGGCATAAAGAGGTGTTTTCGTGCTAAGTATATCCAAATCCCTTAAAGTTGTAGAGATTTATCCTTCGCTGTAAGAGCTAACAAAAAAAAAAAAAAAGAAAGACACAGAGAGAGAGAGAGAACTATTGCCAAGTTTAAAAGAGGTGAGCACTTTCCAAGTATTGATTAGTAGATTAATTCATTTACTTATTGGAACATTAATCATTCAAAAAATTTAGAGAGTAGTCAATTAATTTACTCATTCTGTGCTTTAGCAAATATTGTTTGAAAATTTACCACAGAGGCTAGATGATAAAGATACATTAATAAATAAAGTCACTCCCATTTTTATTGTGATTACTTAACAGTAAATAATACATTAGACGAGCAATAAACCAAACTGCAGGAAACCTGAGAAGGCTTTCTTCATGAAATGGGAGCTAAACCCACACTGATTGAATAACATTTACAAAGTCAAAAACAGAGGCGTTGAAGAGAACTAGGGATGCTCCAGGCCGAGAGAACATGGTATGCAAAGATCTGAAGCTGTGGATGAACTTGATAAGATTAAGGAATTACAAACTTTTCTTTGAGTTGATCAAACAAGTCAAAGAAAATAATGTGAGAGAGGAAAAATAAACTAAGAGCAGATTATAAAAGGCCTGGTAAACTTTTCAAAAAATATGTGGTTGTTGCCGTAAGCAGTAGTAATGTTTTTAGATGTGACCTCAGTCAGTTCAGGCTGGTATAACAAAAAAACCATAAACTTGAAGGTGCCTCACAAACAATAGAAAATTATTTTTCACAATTTTGAAGGTTGGAAATCTGAGATTAGGGGGCCACAATGGTCAAGTTCAGTTGAGTGCCCTCTCCTGGATTGCAGACTGACAAATTCTCATTGAATTCTCACATGGCAGGAGAGGAGGTGTTCAGGGGAGAAGAGAGAGCTCTTATTCCTCCTTGTATGGGGCACTAGTCCCGTTCATGAGGATTCTCCCCTCATGACCTAATCACCTAATCACGTCCCAAAGGCCACATCTTCTAATGTCAGCATATTGTGGATTGAAATGTTAGCCTATGAGTTTTCAGGGGACACGGACATTCAATCCATAAGAGATGTTATTCTGACACGTGCTGGTTTTTTTAGTTTGATTTAATGAAGTTTGAACTGTCTCAGACAGTTTGAACTGTGTTACACAGACATAAATATGTGTTACACAAGACATAAATATGTCTTGTATGTCTCAGAAAGAAGTCAGTGGTAATGGAGAAGAAAGAGTGCATTAAACAAATATTTAGAAGAAAAATATATGGAAAACAGTAACAGATTTGATAGTTACTGAATAATCAAGGCAACTGCAATAAAAAAGAAAAAGTTAGAAAATATTAAGTGAATATATAGAGTTTTTTTTTTCAGTTAGAAAATGCTGAATTTGAAGTACCATTAGAACATTTAAGTCAGAGTTTTCAAAAGTCTTACACAGGGAACACCATCTGTCAACAATGTACTTAATAGTTTCCATCAAGGGGCTGAAGATTGAACCACGGAGAACCTTTAGCAATGCTAGGGTTCCAAGAACAGCAAAAGCTAGAACTTAGAATTTTATGTTCATAACAATTAAAGATTGGCCTCTGACTTTCGTGCCCGGATATTAAATTCAACACCAAGGATCTGGGTTAAATAGAGTCAAATACTTTATTTTGTCATTATAGGGACAAGACTTTTCAGAATCATTGTGCAGACCTAGGACTTATGTTTTGATGAGCTACTCAAGGAGAAAGTGGCCTCTGTATCTTGAATAAACTAGAAAATAAATGAGTATAGTGAAACATGTGGCAACAAAATTTGTGTATGATAATTGTATCAGATCAGTAATGTCTGCTTATATGTTACTCCATGCTAACCTGTCTGTAAATATAATGGGTTAAAACAGTGATTTAATGCTGCTCACAATATGTCAGGAATTTAGGATGGGCTCATTTCATCATTCATCTGTTATCTACCTGGCATCACATGGGGTGTGTACCCGTCAGGGTTCTGAAGCAGGCAGAGGGTGGTTGATGTTAGAGATCTGACATCAAAAATTGCTTCTTTATTGACATATCTAGTCTCTTGGCTAATATTTCTGTCCACACAATATCTGATATTCCATCTATCCTCCATGTCCTTGTGCTTCTCACATCATGGTGGACACAGGTTATTCACATTTCTTTTATATTTTATTGTAAATATTGATGGTGTACAGCATGATGCTTTAATATACATACCCATAGTGAAATTATTACTATAGTCAAGCGAATTAACATATCCATCTCTTCACAATTACCACCATTTATTTTGGTGGTAGCACACCTGAAATCTACTCTCCTAGGAATTCATTGGTACACAATGCACTATTCTTAACTACAGCCATCATGCTGTACCTTCGATTACTCAACTTATTCATCATACGTAACTGCAATTTTGGATCCTTTGACCTGTGTCTCCTCATTTCCTCCTTCTCTTTACTCCTGGTGTCTTAGTCTGTTCTGTATTTCTGTAACAGAATACCTGACAATAGGTAATTTATAAAGACCAGAAATTTATTGGTTTGCAACTCTGGAGACTGGAAAGTCCAAGATTGAGGGCTTGCATCTGACAGGGCCTTCTTGCTACATTATAACATTGCTGATGGTACACATAGCAAGAGATGGAGAAAGGGGGCTGCATTTATCCTTCATAAGGACCTTACTCTTGAGATAAAAAATTCAGTTCTGCAACAATGGTATTAATCTGTTAATGAGGACAAAGACTCTGTGATCTAATCACCCCTAAAATCCCACCTCTTAACAGCATTGAGGATTAAGTTTCCTACACATGAACTTTAAGGGACATATTCATAGAATGTCACTTATTAACCATGGTTCCACTCTCTGTCTGTTTCTATGGATTGGATACTTTTAGATACCATATAAGTGAGATCATGTAGTTTTTGTCTTTCTGTACCTGTGTTATTTCAATTAACATAATGTTCTCTAGGTTGATCTGTGTTGTTGCAAATGACAGCATTTCTTTCTTTGTAAAGGCTGACTAGTATCCCATTATATATATATACACACACACACACATATATATATACATATATACACACACATATATACACACACACACACACACACACCACATTTTCTTTCTGTATTTATTAGTTGATGTACACTTAGGTTGATTCTGTATCTTGGCTATTGTGAATAATGTTGCAATGAACATGGGAACTTAGAAATCTCCACAAAGTACTGATCTCATTTCCTTTGAATGTATACCCAGAAAAGGGATTACTGGTTCACATGTTAGTTTTATTTTTTATTTTGTAAGAAACCTTCATATTATTTTTCGTGAGTGTACAAGGGTACCCTTTTCCCCACACTCTTGCCAACATTAATTTATAGGGCTTTTTAAAAGTAATAGCCATGCTAACAGATGTAACACGACATCTCATGTACTTTTGTTTGCATTTCTTTGGTGATTTGTAATGTTGAACAGATTTTCATCTGTCTGTTGGCCATTTTTATGCCTTCTTTAAAAAAAGTCTATTCTGGTTTTTTGCACAATTTTTGAGGTTTTTATTGCTTTAAAACATTAATAAAAAATTGGAGAATACACAAATAAATGGAAAGGTCTCTTATATTCATGGGTTAAAAAGATTAATATTCTTGAAAGTCCATACTACCCAAAGCAATCTCTATCAAAATTCCAATGACAGTTTTTAATTTAAATAAATTTAAAAGTTACATGGAGCCACAAAAGACCCTGAGTAGCCAATACTATTTTAAGAAAAAAGAAAAAAGTTGGAGTTATCACACTTTCTGATTTCAGGTTATATTACACAGTTACAGTAATCAATATAATATTACACAGTTACAGTAATCAATATAATATGGCACTGACATAAAAAAAAGACACTAGAAAAAATGGAACAGAATAATAGCCCCCAAATAAACATAAGCTTATTATACAGTCTACTAATTTACAACAAAGGCCCAAGGAAACACGATATGGAAATAATAGTCTCTTCAGTAAATGGTGCTGGGAAAACTGAATATTCACCCACAAAAGAATAAAATTGAATACATATCTTACACCAAGCACAAAAAATGAACTCAAAATAATTAAAGTCCTAAACATAAGACTTGGAATATATTCCTAGAAGAAAACATAGGGAAAAAGCTCCTCAATGTTGATCTGGGAGACGATTTCTTTGACTACTACACCCAAAGCATAAGCAACAAAACAAAAAAAATAAAACCAGTGATAATACAACAAGATAACTTTGCAAGTCAAAGGAAACAGTCAAAACAAAAAGTCTACAGATTGCCAGAAAATATTTGTAAACCACGTATCCAATTAGGGGAAAACTTTAAAGAATCTAGTCATATTTCTATGGAGGCTACTTTCTCAAAAACTGGCTTTGAGAGGGTGAAAGGGAAAAAGACTAATTCACAGAAGTTTAATAAATAAATATAAATTGAATACATAAGTATATATGTAATTTAATATATTAAAAGTAAATATATCTAATTTCAGAAGGAGTGTGAGAGTCAAATCATTTTCTTTTCTTTTCTTTTTTTTTTTTTTTAGATGGAATCTCACACTGTTGCCCGGGCTGGAGTGCAGTGGTGCGATCTTTGCTCACTGCAACCTCTGCCTCCAGGGTTTAAGCGATTTTCCTGCCTCAGCCTCCTGAGTAGCTGGGACTACAGGCATGCGCCACCACACCTGGCTAATTATGCGTTTTTAGTAGATCTAAAGTAGAGACAGAGTTTCATCATGTTGGCCAGGATGGTCTAGATCTCCTGACCTTGTGTCCACCCGCCTTGGACTCCCAAAGTGCTGGGATTACAGGCGTGAGCTACCATGCCCAGCCTGAGTCTAATCATTTTCAATAATTAATAGCAGAGAATACAAATGATAGAAACCCTCAAAAAACAGAGATACTTTGCTATGAAAAGATCATCATATAAAAGTAGTATCAGTTTCCAAAACAGTGTTAAAATTAAAAACAGAGAGTATAATTTGTAAACACCTGGACTAGAGATACAGGATTGTTTTAAAAGGTAGAGCCAGATAAGTGAATTCTGAGGCACGTTCACATTGATTAATTCATCACCATACACATGCATCATTCCTCTTCTTGTCTCTAATTATGTGTATTTCTCCATGGGAATTGCCCAACCTTAATTTAACTGACTTCTGTTAGCCACAAAAATAAATGACAGTGCCTATCAACTGATGGCCTGAAGCCAGTGTATATGCCAATATGTACTGTACAATCTATCCTTAGGTTGCCATATTACATCTACTGTTTGTCTTTGGTGCTCCTTCCTAAGCTCATTTTTATTTTGTATTTGACTTTGATTTTGGCACAGATGGCAAGACTGAAATTTCTATTCTTGATCAGTCACAAATGGTAAATTGTTATTTACTTCAGATGAGTAATTTCACTTATTTAATAGATAACAGAAAGTTACTCAATTTATTTTAAAAAGTGACAATTTCTTAGCTGTGTTAAGAACACTTCATTGATGTGAGAAAAATTTATGTGTGCAGTGAAAACCATTATTTCCCTAAGGTTATCTAGATGAAAGCTGCCTTATCATTCACTCAAAACAGTGTCTTTCCAAAGTGCTACTGCAAACACTTCAGGTATTAAATAAATTGTTAACCATTGTTCTGTAGTTGATTTCTAGATACTCTTGTCTGTAGTGACAGAATATATGCTATCATCTATATGAAATTCTGCTGAGAGATCACTAATAATATTTCATTGCATTATTCTCCTTTGCATTATTGCATCTTGTTACCTGTGGCCATAAACACATGCACACATTCTTACAGTCTATTGCAAACTGTAAAGCAAAACGTTTCAAAAATATGCAGGTGCTTTGTAATCTAAGTGCTTCATCAATGATGAAAGTAAGTAACCAAGAGCAAGCTGAGATCTTTCAATTCTCAGAAGCTTCTCAGTTTTATGGTGAAATGAAAGTGGAATCATAAGAAGAGGTTGTAATATATGCAACCAACTCATTCTATTTACATATTTTTCAGCTCTGCTAACAGATGATCAAGTGTAAATACATAGTGAATTTTCTGCTTCTTTTCCTTCAGCAAGAACTATATACATAAATTTTCTAAACTAAAAATGAAAATGTCAGTATGCATTTGCTTAAGATAAATATACCTTCTTCAGAATGCACTGATGACTTGTTATTTCCATAATCCAAAATGGGTTTTATTATATCCTAACCTCTTTAGGCAATATACATTTATTGAGGTTTTCATTAGAAGATATTCTACACCTAGAGACTGAGTATTAAGTCAAACCTAGCATTAAATAAGCTAGTCTTTTAAGGGGGCTGGAATTACTAAATCTTATGAACATCCACACAAATATCAACACTATTTTTTTGTCCTTATACTTACTGCATATTCATTATCATGCTTATTCTCATCTACTATCAGAATGACACATTGTGTGTGTGGGTATATATGTAATTCTTACCTGCATATCCATCTAATTTTCATGAGAGCAGAGACTGTTATAACCTTTCTTTATGAAGTTTTTTTTTTTTTAATTTGATGTAAACATTGTCTTGAAGACCCAATGACAAAGTGAATTTAAAGTGGTAGTATATAGTCCCAGCTACTCAGGAGGCTGAGGTGAGACATTCATTTGGGCCTAGCAGGTGGAATCTGCAGTGAGCCATGATTGTGCTGCCATACTCCAGCCTGGGTGGCAGAGTGAGACCCTGTGTCAAAATAATAAAATAAAGTCATAGTAAATTTAGTGTAATTGATGGATTATAGCTCTTTCTTTTGGTAGACCATAGTCATATCCATTTGGCTTAACCTAATTTTAGCTGTAGCTGGTCAATTCCATAACATTTCTGCCTTATATTGATAATGTCACCTGGAATACACACTATATGTCTCATTTTCAGTCACAGGGCTTTCTTTGAAACAATGCAAGCCTACTGAGGCACAACTTGAAACTATGTAAGACTTAATATTTTTAGCGATAAGCCTCAATTGATATGTGCTGTAGTAGATGGGTAAATGCTCTAGTCTTCTGTTCTTTGTATGAACAAATATGAAGGACATAAGCATGTTTCTCGGTCATTGCTAGAGAATAGAGTCTCATGAATTAAATAGCAGTAACATTGATGTTGAGCAATTATATTGCTTTTTTTCTGCTTGCCTCTTTTCTAAGATTGCCTTTCAAATGGTCTTTTGGCATCCTCATTTCTTGTTTTACTTTTTGCTTTGAATGCTGTGTCAGTATGGAAACAAAATCATTGAAGAAAATCAATACGATTTGTTTTTTAGATCTGGAACCTATTTTTAACTTTAAGCATTGCAAGGAAAGTTCACAACTTCTGATTTATTTGCATAATTGTGATTTGTATGCAGATTTCTACAAAATGTACAGTTATTTTAATTGCAGTATTTTACTGTACATCTATAGATATACTTTTAAATCCTTAAAATAGTTACTTATTTACTATACTCATTTATATACTATTGTATTTGTTGCTTAAGAGAAGTAAATCAGCATGCCAACTGGAGGAAAGGGCATTGAAAAATTTCAACTTTATGACTTGTTAGAAAAATTGGAAACTACGTATTTCTCTTTTAAATTTAGAAAATGTATAGAGATGTACCTGGAATTAGTCTTTATATTTTTATTAAACTTAAATAGTATAAAATATGAATAGGCTAAAAAGGGCTTCAGTATTATCAAATAATTTCAGAGCTAACATTTTGTATCATGATGCAGACAAGATAACCAAATAATATGGCTAGGCAACTCTGACAGATGTAACAGGGAAATTGAGTCTGAGGGAATGTACATGCACATGCGCACACACACATACATGCACGTTTTGAGAAACTTCATGGTGGATGAAGTGAGTTATGATGCCGGCCTCATCAGGTAGACAGAAGTCTTTCTTTCTTTCTCTTCTCATGGAAATTACATTTTTAATTTTTTGAGTAATCACTGTATTGTTTTCCATAGTGGCTATACCAAGTTTACATTCCCACCTACAGTGTACAAGGGATCCCTTTTCTCCACATTTTCATCAACATTAAATATTGAGCAGCAGAAAAAAAAGGGAAAATGTGAAGGCAACTTAGTAAGGCACTGGAGATTTTGGTGGACATTATAAAAACTAAGAGAGAGAGATTTAAGGGGAGGATGATATAATCATCTACTCAGAAATCCCAACATGATTAACTTACAAAATATTGAAATAAATGACAAGCTCAGCAATTATTTCAGATACAAAATTAATTATAAAAAGTCAGCAGTGATGTTTTCATCTCAGCAAAACCTACTAGAAAATGTAATATAAATTAATATATATTTATAGTAGCAAAGAAGGTCTATAAATTAGCTGAAAGTTAATGGTAAGTAATGCATAGGCTTCATACAAAAAATATAAACGTCTATGAAAGATATAACAGAACATATGAAAAATCAAACGTACAATATGAACACAGACAAAATGACCTAGCACTTTAAAGGTATTAAAATCTGTTTGTAGTGTTAACCAAAAAATGACTGGAGCAGGTGTCTTAATTGATAGAGGTTGATTTAAGCAAAGTTCGAGGCATTTCTTTCCAAGCAATTTGTGAGGGAGCCCATCTGGGGAGTTATGTGGCCTTCTGTGTTGTGGGAACATGGCTTATGGATGGGGCTGTGACACAGGGTTGTAAAATTACAGCTATTTGGGAAGAAAAGGAAGGCAGTGTTGCATGACTCAGTTCCCAAGCTTAACTTTCCCTTTGGCATAGTGAGTTTGGGGTCCCAAGATTATATTTTCTGTCACAGCATCAGTCCATAAACAATATACATGTCACCAAAATTAACCCTGGGAACTTGGTACAAAATTATATTTGAGGAAATGTCTATGAATAGTTAAGTCAATTTTGAAATAGAGCAAAAATTGTGGACTCTGTATATAAGATATTAAGAAATACTATAAAAGTATATCAATGAAAAACAATGTGGTATTGGCACAGGAAAAGAAAAATAGACCAACAGAACAGAATAGAGAATACCAAAGAAAACTACGCATATGTGAGAATCTAACATAAAATTAAAAGTGCACAAATTAATAAGAGTGAATTATTTAAGAGATGTCATTATCAAAAATGGTTCTCAGTAAAGAGAAAAGTAGGTTGGATTTTACACCTCAAATGAAGGTTGGGTTACTAGTGTAATAATAATTAAATATGACAGGTAACATGGTTTGGCTGTGTCCCCACCCAAATCTCATTTCAAATTAATGTGTCCCATAATTCCCATGTGTCATAGGAGGAATCCAGAGGGAGCTAATTGAATCACAGAGGTGGTTTCCCCTACACTGTTCTCATGGTAGTGAATAAGTCGCACAATAGCTGATGATTTTATAAAGGGTTTCTACTTTTGCTTGGCTCTCATTCTCTCTTTGCCTGCCTCCGTGTAAGACATGCCTTTCACCTTCCGCCATGATTGTGAGGCCTCTTCAGTTTTGTGGAAACATGAGACCGTTAAATCTCTTTTTTGTTATAAATTACCCAGTCTTGGGTATGTCTTTATCAGCAGCATGAAAACAAACTAATACAACAGATAAAATAAATTTTGGACAGCATTTTTAAAAAAAATACAAGACGCAAAAAGTGTGAAATAGAAGGTATATATATTGATATACTCAATTAAATCAAAATTTAGGGTTTCTGTGCCAGAACGAGGGAAATGATCTTATGACATTATGAAAAAATTATCAAACTCATTAGCAATGAAAGATCATGATTATAAACAGCACTAAATAATTTTTAAAAATCAGATTGTCCACAATATGCTTGTGAGAATGTAGGGCAATGCAAATTCATGTGTACTGCTGATGCACATTCTTAATCCAGTCATTGTTTCTTAGTCCATGTTTTACTCTATTTATCAGCAGTTTTTTGTTAGACTGTGTCCAAGACAACACACACTTACTTTTCTTTCAGTCTCAATGGCTATTTTGTTTGCTGGCAAACTTCATCCTTTTCATTTGGGATTACCTCAATGTTCAATCTTTGGACCTCCTATATTCTTTATCTAGGTACTTTGCCTCTGTAATCTCATCTAATCCTTTGCTTTAAGTACTGTCTTTTTACTAATGGCTCACATATTTAAATGATCTGTGGGATCTCTTCCTGAATTCAGGATATATATATTCACTTTCTAATTTTAGATCTCTATGTGTATGGCTAGTAGAGATTTACAACTGTTCAGTTTATGATGTTTTGATTTTATGATGGTGTGAAAGTGATACATGTTCAGTAGAACTTGTACTATGGGTACCCATAACCATTCTGTTTTTTGCTTTTAGTACAGTATTCAATAAATTACATGAGCTACTCAACACTTTATTAGAAAATAGGTTTGTGGTAGATAATATTGTCTAACTGTAGACTAATAGACGTGTTCTGAGTATGTTTAATTTAGGCTAGGCTAGGCTATAGTGTTCGTTAGGTTAGGTGTGTTAAATGTATTTTCCACTTATGATATTTTCAACTTACGATAGACTTTTTGAGAAATAATCCCATCATAAATGAAGGGGCATCTGCAGTAATCTCAAAGTTAGCATACCCAAAAGTTAACTTCTTCAACCCTCTTCACACACTCTGCAATATATGCACTATTCATTGGTCTTTCTTTAGTTACTGCTCAAAAATATTCGAGTCATATTTTTCTGATACCCCACATTACATCTTTCGAAGATTCTCTTGGATCAAATTTTGAAATATATTTAGAATTTAATCACTTTCCATTTTCTACTAAAATCATACTTTCCATGCTACAATGATTTTATTCCTCTACTATTAAAATGGCCTCCTATTGCATTCTCCTATATCCACCATCTTCATTGTACAACATATTCTCAACACAGCAGCTTTATTGATGTTGTTGATAGAAGAGTCAGAAGATGTAACTTTTCTGCTCGAACTCCACCAGTGACTCTTCATGTCTTTCTAAGTAAAAGCCTACAAGGCTCCACACATTCTTCCACCTTCTCCAGTATTCTTGTATTTCACTTCTACATTGGGTCACTCTGCTTCAGCCACATCAGCTTATATCTGTCATTTGAACATTAAGCTATATTTCCACCACAGGGCTTTTGAAATGTCTGTTCCATGTGCCAGGAATGTTCCCTTCCATATATCAGCATGAATCCATCAAGTCTCCGGTCAAACTATAGGAGGCATAATATGAACACCCTTCCTCTTATATTCCAGGACTTCCAAAACCTTCTCTACTACTTTTATGGCTCTTGTAACATTATAATAAATATTGAAACTTAATTATGTTTAATGTTTTTATACACTTATTAATATGTGAGTCTTCCTAAAGCAGTTTCTTTCTTTTTAAGAATATTTGTTCCAGAAGTATTCCTAGCACTAATAATTATGCCTGGAACATAGTAGGGTACTTATAAATATTTAGTGTATGAATGGAATGTGGGTTGATGTTTCATTTATTCTAATAAAATAAAATGTATTTTTGCCATTTGATCCAGATGTATTGATCTCTAATACATATCCTAGAAAATTCTCATAAGGAGAAATACAGGATTATTTTATTGTAACATATTTTGCAAGACAAGGAATTGGAGATAATTGTAAGATTTACAAACTATCTCTTCCTCTCTCTCTCTTTTTTAATATCTAAATAGATACATAGGTAGATAGATGAGATAGAGATACATAGATAGAGATAGATTGGACAGATAGAGGAAAGCATATCACATGGGTGACTCACAAAATTAGTAAAAGAGTAGGGTTGGGATGATGGACTATTGCTGTAGATTATTTTTATTTTAAAGAGAATACTACATAATTTGCAAAGATACTGTCAAGTTCAGTATTTATAGCATGAAGATTGAGTAAATGTTGGAAACATAAGAACAAAAATAAAAATACAAAATAAAACAAGAGGAGGACCTCATATGAACAAGTAATCAGAATAGGCTATGAATGGATAAATTAGATTGGTATATAAGGAAATAATGAAATAGAATAGCACACTCCCTCGGCTGGAGTGCAGTGAAGCCATCATACCTCACTGTAGTATCAAACTTCTGGGCTCAAGTGATCCTCCCACCTCTGCCTCCCAAGAAGCTAAGACTACAGGCATGTGACACAATGCCCATCTAATTTTTTAATTTTTTAATTAGTTTTTTTTTTTTTTGTAGAGTTGTTGTCTTACTTTGCCATCCCGGCTGTTCTGAAACTCTTGACTTCAAATGATCCTCAAGCCTTGGTCTGCCAAATTGCTAGGATTGCGGGCATGAGCCACCATGCCCAGCCTTGCTCCATAATTTTTTAGGACATATTTAAAGTATTTAAATCTGAATGATGAATAATAGTATTATCATTCTTCTTAAAATATGAAATATTTGAGAAATAAAATTTCTCAAAATATGAAAGTTTTGATGCATGCATAATACTAGTATCATATATTTAACAAATAACTTAAAAATCCTCATAAAGCATTCTAGAGAGAGAAAAACATCATGTTATAGTAGAAATGTTTTATGTGGGCCCTGGAGAGTTAAGTTTAAGAAACAACTAACAATTGTTTTAGAAAAGAATAAAAAATGGCAAATAAAATATAAAAGTTGAGCACAACAGCTTGGTCAAAGATTTTTAAAAATCCAGGCAATTCTAGGTACTGGAAAGAATATAGGAATATGGAAATGCTTGTTCCCTGCTGGTAAATTGTTATAACTATCTGGAGATCACTTTGAATTTAGCTTGTAAAATTAAAGATGCATGTAAATTAATTCTCTGCAATGAGTATCCTAGGTATAAGCTCTAGAGAAATCACTGCTCGTGTGCATTAATATGCATACAAGTATGTTTTTAGAGATGTCGTTTGTTATGACAGGTAGTAGAACCATACCAAATGTCTGTTGTCAGAAGAATAGATTCATATAATGAGGTGAATTCATAAAGTAGATTACTATGTAACAATGAAAATTAATGGATTGCAGCTGTTTTCTTCATCAAAGATATATCTACAATATAATTTTGGGTTAAAAATATTAGTTGCAATACACTTTCTTGGTACACAGTACTGTGTACATACAGGATTATACAATTATGCAATGTTCCAAATATACAAACCATAATCCTATTTTACTATGATTTCATGCATATATGAAAATTCATAATAAAAGGCAAGGAGTAATGGCTCATAAATGTGTAAAAGAAAATAACTTTGGGGATGTCTTCATAAAGGTTTTTATCATGCTTTATGTAGTAAATTGGATGGTTTTTCCTTAAAAAATGTTGACCTCAGGTAATAATGAAATATGTTTCATTATAGTTAGTATATTTATTTTTATTGCCAACAGTATTGGAGAATATATTTATATAAAAATAAAATAATGTTTTTATAATTTAGAGTTGGCAGGCAATATACTGTATGTAAGAAAGTAAAATGTTAATTTGAAAATTAACTTCAAATAAATTCTAACAAAAATGTTGCTCTATTGTGAATTTGCTGATGGATCTTTCAAAACCTGTTGAGAGACAGTAGCAATACTGGTATTCTTTAAAGACATAAATAAGTATCCCTTAAAGATGTGAAGAAATCTTCAATATTTTTAATTTAGGTATTATTAGAAGAAGGCTTATTGGTTTGTTGTTTTTATTTTTCAGGAAGATAATTTGGAAAAATGAACACATTCATCAACCTGACCTAATTTGTTCATTATCTAATACAAGTGAAACATAAAATATTTACGTAATATTAACTGGATATTCTTTCTATTAAACTACGTACAAGTAAAAATGATGAAGTATTTTTATAGCACACTATGGGAACAATTTACCTAAAACTGGGTTTCAAAATTAAGTTCTGTAATGTTCTGGCAAATCACTTCTTCATAGCCATGGTTCTATATTCACGTTTATGTGTGGAATCGCTGGCAAATTTTAAAACTTTTACAACTTATATCATTACCTGCATATGTAGTTTGGGAAGCACTTTCCCCAATCTCTCCTACGTATGTAAGTTTGTACTTCTAACCTCATCATATCAAACGCCAAAAGCATTCCATTACACTTATAAAATACTTGTCCATTTGAATATTTTTAGTTATGGAGACAAGAAGATCTCAAATTTGTTGGTAAACAATTCTCCATAGTCTCTTGTATTTTTGCATGTCTTGTGAGTAGAGATAGTGCCTGCCTTTGGTCTAGACCATCATTTCAAGGATGTGTTTGGCATGAGCTGCCTTGAAATTAGAGATCGTGTCTCCACTAGAGGCAATAACAGGCTTACTTGTCAAATTAGCTTAATATCTCCTTTGGAGCCAAATTCAGGAAGGCTGACAGCCTGTGACAGTTAATTTTATATGTCAACTCAGCGGTGCCATGGGGTGTCCAGATACAGTCATGCACCATTTAATGATGGAGATACCTTCTGAGAAATGCATTGTTAGGCAATTCCATTGTTGTGTGAACATTATAGAGTATACTCACCAAACCTAGATGGTGCAGCCTACTGCACACCTGGCCTATATGGTATAGCCTATTGCTCCTGGGCTACAAATCTGAACAGCGTGTTACTGCAGTCAATACTGTAGGCAATTGTAACACATTTATAAATATTTGTGTGTCTAAACACAGAAAAGTTCTGGTAAAAATATGGTCTTATAAACTTATGGGACCTCTGTTGGATGTGCAATTCATCCTAGACTGAAACATCGCTATGCTATGCATGACTGTATCTGATTAAACATTATTCTGGGTGTGTCTGTGAGAGTATTTCTGGCTGAGATTAACATTTGAATTGATAGACTGAGTAAAGTAGATTGCCCTCCCTAATGTGGGAACACTTCATCTCATCAGTTGAGGCACTAAATAGAACTAAAATGATGTTTAAGAGGAAAATTATTTAGCTACCTTTGAATTGGGACATCAGCTTTTTCTCTGCCTTTGACTTGAACTGAAACATTGGCTCATCTTGAATATTGATCCTGCCAGTTTTTGGGATAGAACTACACCATTTCTCCTGAATCTCAAGCCTTCCAATTCACCCTGCAGTTCTTGGGATCTGTCAGTTTCCATAATAATGTAAGCAAAGTCCTTACAAAAATTTTTTTCTCTCTGTCTCTCTGAATATATGTAACTATATTCATTCTGTTATCATTTTGTTCTCTTCATATAAGTGGGAGAAACTGAGGAAACTAAATCTCGAGGAACTGGTACAAATACTAATACTCTGGCTACTGCTATTGTAAAGAATGATAAATTCATTTATCTCTGACCCGTGAGTCCCGTGTCTTCTGTCAGCATTCATAATACTGTTATTGTAGGTGGCTCACTCATTAGTTTGCAGGTACAAATAAATCTCAACCCCTTTATGAATCTTGACAAAATTTTATTTATAATATCTATTTCTATAACAATATTAAGAAACATATAAACAGTACCCATTTTCATTTTATGTATATATGTGCAGTGCATCATCACTATTTTACAACCAAGAGTTTTACATTTAAATTTGATAATTTTATTCTACATATTATATTTATAAGGCCTATATTTAAGAGGATGACACAATTTATGTTGATGGAAAAAATGTCCATATGTCTTCATTTTTCACTTGTTAGTAATCCAATTTGAGAAAATTGTATTCTCTTAGCTACTCTCGCTTCTTTTCCCTGTCATTTATTATTATGTTTCACCTCTGTACACAAGGCTATACGGGGCAATGGTGAGTCAGTAAGACCGTACTAGTCACAATTCCTGCTGTCACACTGAGAGCGGGCTGCAGCGGGAAGAAGGCAAAAGAGAAGCAGGGCATCTAACACATGCTACTGTTCTACATAGTTTCATAGCAGTCCTGCAAGAAACAGCCAGGATACTTGTAAATGCTGATTCAATTTTTGAAAATTTAAATACAATTTTTTATTTTAATAAGTATTACTAGAACATTTTTATATTTGCAGAATAATTACAAAAATAGTATAGTTTTCATATATCCATACCCAGTTTTTTATAATATAATTATTTAAATAATTTTAGTAAATTTGTCATAAACAATGAAACAATATTTCTACATCATTATTAACTAAAATCCATATTTTAATCAGAATTTTCACATTTTTCCTAATGTCTTTTTTTGTTGTTATTTTTTCAAGATCACAATCAGGATATTACATCATATCTAGTAGTCGTGTGTCCTCAGTCTCCTCTTGGTTGTGACAGTTTCACAGACTTTTCTTATTTTTGATGACCTTGATGACTGGTAGATTACTGAGAAAGTGTTTTCAATTGAGATCTTTTAAATGTTTCACTCATGTTAGACTTTTGGTAGTAGATTTAATAATGACCACCCAGGCCATGCATGGTGGTCCATGCCTGTAATTCTAGCACTTGAAAGGCTGAGATGGGCACATCACTTGAGTTCAGGAGTTCGAGACCAGCCTGGGCAACATGGCAAAACCCCATCTCTACAAAAATTAGTCAAGCGTAGTGACACTTGCCTGTAGTACAAGATCCTTGGGAGGCTGAAGTGGAAGGATCACCTGAGCCTGGGAGTTGGAGGCTGCAGTGAGTCAGGATTGCACCACTGCACTCTAGCCTGGGTGACAGAGTGAGATGCTGTCTCAAAAAAAAAAAAAAAAAAAAAAAAAAACACCAAAAGATATCAGTTTCCAATGACTGGAACATAAAAATATTACCTTCCTACAAAAAGTTTTTAAAGATATCATTTAGTTAAGAACACTGACATAAGGAGATTATCCTGAATTATTTACTTGGACTTAAATCCAATAACAAATGTTCTTTAGGAGAGATAAGATGGAGACATTATACACATAGAAGACGAGGAGACAGAGGCAGAGATAGGAGTTGTGTAGCCACAAGCAAAGGAATGCTGCAGCCACCAGAAGATGAAAGAGGCAAAAAACAGATTATCTACTAGGTTCCTGAAGAAAGTACTGCCCTATGGACACCTGGATTTCAATCCAGTAAAACTTATTGAAACATCTAGCCTCCATAATTGTAAGAGAATAAGTTCCTCTTATTTTAAAACACTCAATCCTTGGGAATTTAGTAGCCCTGGGAAACTATACACTGCAATAATGTGTTTTCCAGAGGAAGACCACAGAGATAAAGTGGTATTTTCACCACATTATATCAAGGCTACATAATCTTTTTTGTCTCTAACTTTTATTTTAGGTTCAGGGGTATACGTGTACATTTGTTACATAGGTAAATTGCATGTAACGGAGGTTTGGTGTACAGACTATTTTATCACCCAGGCAATAAGCATAGTACCCAATAGGTAGTTTCTTGATCCTCACCCTCTAACACCCTCCACTCAAGTCGACCCAGTGTCTGTTGATCTCTTCTTTGGGTCCGTGTGTACTCAAGGTTAAAATCCCACTTATAAGTGAGAGCATGCAGTATTTGATTTACTGTTTCTGCATTAATTCACTTACGATAATGGCCTCTAGCACCATTTGTATGGCTTCCAAGAACATGATTTCATTATTTTCCTGGCCGTATAGTATTCCATGATGTATATGCTATGACATTTTCTTTAACCATTCCACTGTTGATGGGAATCTAGGTTGATTCCATGTCTTCACTATTGTGACTAGTGCTGTGATGCACATATGCATGCATGTCTTGATGGTAGAACAATTTATGGTCCTTTGGGTATATGATTGCTGGGTCAAATAGTAGTTCTGTTTTAAGTTCTTTGAGAAATCTCCAAAAACTGCTTTCTACAATGGCTAAACTAATTTACATTCCCACCAGCAGTATAAGCATCCCTTATTCCCATAAGCTTGCCATCTGTAATTTTTTGACATTTTAATAATAGTCATTCTGACTAGTATGAGATGGTATCTCGTTGTGGTTTTCATTTGCATTTCTCTGATGACTAGTGATGTTGAACATTGTTTCATGTGCTTGTTGGCCATGTGTATGTCTTCTTTTGAAAAGCGTCTGTTCCTGGCTGGGCATGGTGGCTCATGCCTATAATCCCAGCATTTTGGGAGGCCAAGGCAGGGGGATCACTTGAGGTCAGGAGTTTGAGACCAGCCTGGCTAACATGGCTAAACCCCATCTCTACTACAAATAAAAAACAAACAAAAAAAATTACAAAAAACAAAAGAAGAGCCGAGTGTGGTGGCGTGTGCCTGTAATCCTAGCTACTCAGGAGGCTGAGTCAGGAGAATCGCTTGAACCCGGGAGGCTGAGGTTGCAGTGCAGTGAGTCGATATCAAGCCACTGCACTTCAGCCTGGGTCATGGACTGACTCTGTCTCAAAAAAAAAAAAAAAAAAAAAAAAAAGAAAAGTGTCTGTGCTCTTTGTCCACTTTTTAATGGGATTATTTTTGCTAGTTAATTTATTTAAGTTCCCGTAGATTCTGGATATTACACCTTTGTGAGAGGCATAATTTGAAAATGTTTTCTCCCATCATACAGATTGCCTGTTTACTCTGTTAGTTTCTTTTGATCTGCTGAAACTCTTTAGTTTAATTTGGTCCCTTTTGTCAATTTTTGTTTTTGTAGCAATTGCTTCTGGTATCTTCATCATAAAATTTTTGCTAGGGCCTATGTCTAGAATAATATTTCAAAGATTATCTTCCAGGGTTTTTATAGATTTAGATTTTACTCTTAAGTCTCTAATCCATCTTGTGGTTTTGTTTGTTTTGTTTTTTGTCTATGGTGTAAGGAAAGGATTCAGTTTCAATCTTCTGCATATATTTAGCCAGTTATCCCAACATCATTTACTGAATAGGGATTCTTTTCCCCATTGCTTGTTTTTGTCAATGTTGTAGAAAATCAGATGGTTGTAGGTGTATAACATTATTTCTGGGCTTTCTATTCTATTCCATTGATTTATGTGTCTGTGTTTGCACCAGTACCATGCTGTCTTGGTTACTGTAGCCTTGTGGTATAGTTTGAAGTCAGGTAGCATGATGGCTCCAGCTTTTTTCTTTTTGCTTAGGATTGCCTTGAGTATCCAGGATCTTATTTGGTTTGATACACATTTTAAAATATTTTTTTCCTGATTCTATGAAAAATATCACTGGTAGTTTGAGAGGAAAAACATTGAATCTGCAAATTGCTTTGGGCAGTATGGCCATTTTAACAATGTTGATTATTCCTATCCATGAGCATTAAATATTTTTCCATTTATTTATGTTAGCTCTGATTTCTTTGAGCAACATTTTATAATTCCCATTATAGAGATCTTTCTCCTCCTTAGTTAGTTGTATCCCTAGCTATTTTATTCTTTTTGTGGCTATAGTGAACCAGATTACAGTCTTGATTTTACTTTCAGCTTGGATGTTGTTGGTGTATAGAAATGCTACTAATTTTTGTATATTGATTTATATCCCGAAACTTTGCTGAACTTGTTTATCAAATCTATGAGCTTTTGGGCAGAAACTATTCAGTTTTCTAAGTATGAAATCATATTGTGTAAAAACAGAAACAGTTTGACTTTCTGTCTTCCTATTTTGGATAACTTTTATTTCTTTCTCTTGCCTGATTGCTCTGGCTAGGATTTCCAGTATATATTTTATGGGAGTGGTGAGACTGGGCATCCTTGGATTGTTCCTGTTCTCAAGGGGAATGCTTCCAGCTTTTTCACATTCAGTTTGATGTTGGCTGTGGGTTTGTTATAGATGATTGTTACTATGTTGAGGTATGTTCCTTCAATGCTTAGTTCATTGAGGGTTTTTAATATGAAGGGATGCTAAATTTTATCAAAAGGCTTTTTTTAGTCTATTGAAGTTATCAGGTAGTTTTTGTTTTTAGTTCTATTTGTGTGATGTATCACGTCTATAGACTTATGTGAGTTAAAACAATGTTGAATCTCAGGATAAAGACTACTTAATTTTAGTGGATTAGCTTTTTGATGTGCTGCTGGATTCTGGTTGCAAGTATTTTGTTGAGGATTTTTGCATCAGTGTTCCTCAGAGTTATTGGCCTGGAGTTTTTTTTCTTTTTCTTATGTCTTTGCCAAGTTTTGGTATCAAGGTGATGTTGGCGTCAATGAATGAATTACAGAGGAGTATCTTCTCAATTTTTTGGAATAGTTTCAGTGTGAATGATACTAGCTCTTTATGTTTTGAAGAATTAAGCTATAAACCCATGTGGTCCTGAGCTTTTTCTGGTCCGTAGGCTTGTTATTACTGATTCAATTTCAGAACTTGTTGTTGGTCTATTCAGGGATTCAATTTCCTGCTGGTTCGACCATGGAAGGTTGTACATTTTGAGGAATGTATCCACCTCTTCTAGGTTTTCTAGTTTGTGTACAAAGAGGTGCTCATAGTAGCCTCTGAGAGTGTTTTTATTTCTATGGGGTTGGTGGTAATGTGCCCTTTGTCATTTATGATTGTGTTTATTTGGTTATTCTGTTTTTGTTTTTCTTTTTTTTTTTTTTTTGAGATGGAGTCTCGCTCTGTCTTTTCTTTATTAGTCTAGCTAGTGGTCTATCTATCGTATTAGTCGTTCAAAGAACCAACTACTGTATTCATTGACCTTTCTTATGGTTTTTCTTTCATATCACAATTTCCTTCAGTTCAGTTCTGATTTAGGTTATTTCTTTTCTCCTACTAGCTTTGGGGCTGGGTTGCTCTTGTTTCTCCAGTTTCTCTAGTTTTAATGTTAAGTTGGTAATTTGGGATCTTTCTAACTTTTTTTTTTTTTTTTTGAGAAGGAGTCTCGCTCTGCCGCCCAGGCTGGAGTGCAGTGGCGCGATCTCGGCTCACTGCAAGCTCCGCCTCCCGGGTTCACGCCATTCTCCTGCCTCAGCCTTCCAAGTAGCTGGGACTGCAGGTGCCCGCCAAGACGCCCGGCTAATTTTTTTGTATTTTTAGTAGAGACGGGGTTTCACCATGTTAGCCAGGATGGTCTCGATCTCCTGATGTCGTGATCCGCCCGCCTTAGCCTCCCAAAGTGCTGGGATTACAGGCGTGAGCCACCGCGCCCGGCCGGGATCTTTCTAACTTTTTGATGTGTGTGTTTAGAGTTAAATGTTTCCCTCTAAACACTGCTTTACCTGTGTCCTAGAGATTCTGGTATGTTGTATCTTTGTTCTCATTAGTTTCAGATAACTTCTTGGTTTCTCCCTCAATTTCATTACTTACTGAGAAGTTATTCAGGGGCAGGTTGTTTGATTTCCATGCAATGCAATGGTTTTGAGCAATTTTCTTAGTATTGATTTCTATTTTTATTGCACTGTGGTCTGAGAGTTTGTTTGGTATTATTTTAGTTTTTTTTAATTTTTAGAGAATTGTTTTATGTTTGATTGTGTGGTGGACTTTAGAGTATTTTCTATATGGGAAAAAAGAAGAATGTATGTAATGTGTTGGTTTTGAATAGAGAGTTCTGTAGATGTCTCCTAAGTCCATTTGGTCAAATATCAAGTTTAGGTCCCAGCTATCTTTGTTAGCTTTCTGCCTATATGATCTGTTTAATATTGTCAGTGTGGTGGTGAAGTCTCCCACTATTATTATGCAGTTATATAAGTCTCTTCATAGGTCTCTAAGAACTTACTTTATGAATCTGGGTGATCCTGTGTTGGGTGAATATATATTTAGGATATTTAGATCTTATTGTTCAGTTGAACACTTCACTTTTATGTAATGCTCCTCTTTTTGTCTTTTTTGATTATGGCTAAAAGTCTGTTTTTTCTAAAATTAGAATATCAACTTCTGCTCTTTTCTGTTTTCCGTTTGGTTGGCAGATTTTTCTTCATCCCTTTACTTTGAGCCTATGGGTATCATTGCATGTGAAATGGATCTCTTGAGTCTTGCTTCTTTATCCAATATGCTACTCTGTGCCTTTTAATTGAAGCATATATCCCATTTACATTCAAGGTTAATATTAACATATACAGATTTGATCTTGTCATTATGTTGTTAGCTGGTTTTTGTGCAGACTTGATTGTGGGGTTGCTTTATAGTGGCAATGCTCTATGTATGTAAACGCATTTTTGTGGTGGTCAATAATGGTCTTTCCTTTCCATACTTAGCACTTCCTTAAGGACCTCTTGTAAGACAGGTTGAATGGTAATGAATTATTTCAAAATTTACCTGTCTGAAAAGGATTATATTTCTTCTTTGATTATTAAGCTTGTGTGGCTGGATATGAAATTCTTGGGTGGAATTTATTTTTTTAATAAGCTAAATATAGGGTCTCAATCTCTTCTGGCTTGTAGGGTTTCTGCTGAAAGTTCTGCTGTTAGCCTAGAGGGGTTCCTTTTGAAAGTGACCTGCCTCTTTTCTCTAGCTTCACAGAACATTTTTTTTTTATTTCAAATGTGAAAAATTTGATGCCAATGTGTCTTGGGTATGGCCATCTTGAATGGCATCTCTCAGGTGTTGTCTGCATTTCCTAAATTTGAATGTTGGCCTCTCTAGCAAGGTTAGGGAAATTTTCATGGACAATTTCCTAAAAGTCTTTTTTCCAAGTTGCTTGCTTTCTCTCTCTTTCAGAGATGCCAATGTCATAGATTTGGGTCTCTTTACATAATTCCATATTTCTTGAAGGTTTTTCTTTCTTCTTCATTGTTTTTTTCTTTATTTTGGTCTGAGTTATTTTGGACAACCGGTCTTCTAGCTCTGAAGTTCCTCAGCTTGGTCAATTCTGCTGTTAATGTTTGCAATTGTGTTATGCAATTCTTGAAGTAAGTTTGTAAGCAGTATCAGATCAGTTTGGTTCTTTCTGAAAAATGGCCATTTTCTCTTTCATCTCCTGATCATTTTATTATATTCTTAGAGTCTTTGGATTGAGTTTAGACTTCATCCTGATTCTTGATGAGCTTTGTTTCTGTTTATATTATGAATTCTATTTCTGTTGCTTCATTCATTTTAATTGCTAAGGACCATTGCTGAGGAACTAGTGTCATTGCCTGGAGGTGAGAAGACAGTCTGGCTTTGCAAGTTTTCAGAGTTCTTGTACTGTTTCTTTCTCATCTTTGTGGCCTGGTGTTCCTTCAGTCTTTTATGTTGTCCTTTGAGTGTGTGTTTTTTTTTTTCTTTTATCTTCTTTGGTGCACTTGGAGGTTTGATTGTGGTATATGGTGGGTTCAGTTGACTGGCCCCATTTCTGAAAGATTTTAGGGGGCCAAGATTCAGCACAGCACTCCTGGAATATGTACTCTAACTCTTGGGGATTGGCACGGAGTCCCAGCTTTGTTATCTGGCCCCTTGAATTTAAAAACATGCTGCACTGGAAGATCCAAGGTGTTTCCAATCTGCTGGCCACAGCAGTCTGATGGGTGGTGATGGTTAAAGGGTTTTGTCACCCAGTGGCAGTGGGATCTGTTCTCTCTTGTGCATGCCAGCAGCCACAGCAGTGCAGCAATT
Organism: Homo sapiens; assembly: GCF_000001405.40. NCBI lineage: Eukaryota > Metazoa > Chordata > Mammalia > Primates > Hominidae > Homo > Homo sapiens. The sequence continues at coordinate 121,914 of NW_025791779.1, forward strand.
GTGCATGTGTGTTGACTGGGTGGGTGGTTACCTGGGAAGCAGAGCTGCAGTGTTCCCGTGTGCTTGCACTGGTGGTGTGGTGGGGGCACGGTGCAGGTGAGGACAGGGTTGTCAGTGTCTGTGCACACTTTGCTGCAGCTGCATGTCAGCACAAGTGAGGCAGAATTTTTAGGGTTTGTTCCCTGTTGGTACCAGCTATGGCAGCATTGCTGGGTCCCCACATGTCATGGAGTAGGGGCTCTTTGGGATGTGATCATCTTGTAGTGGCAGGAGTTGTGCAGAGTGGCGCTTGTGTGCCCACTGGTGAGAGGAAGCTAATTGCATGTGTGTGTATGCAGGCATGGGTAATATCAGTGGGTGATGGCCTTGGGCGAGTGTGTGCCAGCAACATGGTGTGGGGGAGGTTGTTGTGGAGGGAGAGTGTGGGTGGCCTGGTGAACTTTGGCAGGGGCCACTCTGTTGGAGCTTTCCAATGGTCAAGCGTGGTTTACCAGCCAACGAGTTATGATGAGGGCCACCAAGAAACACCCTGGTTAGATGTCCTAGGATGCACTGCACATGGAAGCAGCTAGGCTGAGGCCCCAGGAGAGGACAGCAGATGGGGGTGTCCTCAGATCAGACTGGCCCCATCCCATGGGCAAGACCTCTACTGCCCTGTTCAGGTTCAACAGTCATTCCAAAGCTAAACCTTCCTAGAGGAGCATGATAAGCCTTGGGGGGGATGGGTGTCCTTGCCTGTGCTCCATAGCAGACACTCCTGCACCAAACACTCTGGGCTCCACAAAGGGTGGGGTCCTACCCCTACCACCTAGACAAACAGTTCTTTGTAGCAGCTCAGGTGTCTGTTGGGATTGTAGAGTCCCCTGATGCCAGGATCCTGGAAGGCTGTGACAAGAGTGAGTCACTCCTTGCCTGTTCAATTCACCCCTTCGTCAGGAATCTCTGGGAGCCAGGAACAAGTCCTGATGCTTGGTAGCCCCATGCAGGGTTCCCAGCTTCCTTCCTCTCTAGATCAGCGACGGTGTCCTCTGTCCATCTTACATGAGTATGTCTAGAGTGTACTAGTCTTCCCAGTGTCCTGGTCTCCTTTGGACAGCTATTTGTCCTTGCTGCATCTAGTCAGCCATCTTGGCTCCTGGTTTCTCAGGGATCAACACTTTTCATATGACATCACTTTGATGTGAAACTTATCTTTGGCTTGAGGTAGTATTTTTCATTTTTCCCCAATGTGAAATTGCTTTTGTGTTTTTCTTCCCTTTCTGTGTTGTATTCGCTGGAAGAAAAGCACTGTGCACAGCCCACTTAAATAGTGGGGAGTTATTCTCTACCTCCTTGCCACGGGAGTGTTTTCATAAATTATTTGGAATTTTACATAGTATATTTGATTATTTTCCCATCAATTTTTTATTCAATCATTTATTAATGTTGGAATGATTCTGTTAATATTTGTTTTACATTTTAGGTTTTAAGCCGAGCTACTTTATTTATGTTGTTCAGAATGCTTGGCCATTGGTGGTGGTGGTCAGGGGTGTCTTTCAGATGTCTTTTATACCATTTTTTATTTTATTTTTAAGAGACAGTGTCTGCTGCTCTGTTGCCAGAGCTGGATCACATTGGCACCATCACGGCTCACTGCAGCCTCGACCTCTGGGCTCAAGTGAATCTCCCGCTGCAGCCTCCCGAATAGCTGAAACTACAGACACATGCCACCATACCCAGGTAATTTGTATATCTTTTGTTGAGATGGGGACTTTCTATGTTGCCCAGGTTTGTCTTGAACTCTTGGCCTCAAACAAACCTCTCATCTCAGCTTTCCAAAGTGCTCAGTATCCTTTTGACATATCATAATCTTCTCCACCCCCACCAGCATCGGGTAATTATTGATGGTACACTATGATCTATGCTTATCTTGTATATTTCCTGACTCAAACCTGGTATCAATCATTTCACCAAGGAGCTCTGGGTCTTTTTGTCATAGAATAGTGTTAGAAATCAAAATGTGGGTCACTATGTGTGCTAGTTGCCATTGGCTTCAACTCTACTTTTAACTTATTTGAGTAATTATAGAAAAGTGAGTTTCTTGTAACAGCACAATTGGGTCTTTTTGTTTTTTGGTCCACTCTTACAATCTTTTTATCTTGATTGGTATATTTTGATCATTCACAATATTGATGAAATTGGATTAATAGATCTATTTTTGTAACTGTTGTCTATTTGTGGCATTTGTTCTTTGTTATTTTTCTTTTCCTGACTTGAATAATTTCAGTTGAGCATCTTATGTGATTCTATTTTATCTTCTTTCTTAGTAGATCACATATACCTATTTATTTTTTAATTTTTTAGTGGCTACCCTACAGTTGATGGTATAGATTTGTAATCCGTATAAGTCTACTTTCAAATAAAACTACCATTTCACATATAGTGCAGGGACACTATGACACAGTGTTTCTAATTCTTGCCTCCCATCCTTTTGACATTGTACCTTTCATTTTACTTATTCACATTATATGCTTACATAATACATTGTTATTATCACTGCTTTAAGCAAACGTTATTTTTTAGTGGTTAATGGGTCGGTTAATTAATATTTTAAAAAACATTTATTTTACCTGTATTTATTCCTTCTCTGACAATTTTTATTTCTTTGTACATAATTAGTAGCCTGACTTATGTTAGTTTAGAAAATGCAAGAAAAAAGCAAACAATGATGGAAAAGATATTGTGGTAAAATGAATTCTATCACTCTAAGTAATACTGTTATTTGCTTTTTCTTGTTTGTGTATGTGTGTGTGTGCAAAGTATAACAATATTTACATAGAGATAAAGAAAGTAATAATACTCTATATATGCAGCATTCAAAATTTCTGCCCTTAGGAAGCTAACATGATTGGTGAAAGTTCAGAAGAAAATGTAATTTGCTTTGTCAATATTGAATCAGAAAACATTTATTCAGTACCAGCAATATTACTGGTGCTGTCCTGGGGAGTGAGGGTGCAGTTCTTAACACATTCTATCTTTATTTAAGCTTACGACCTCTATACTACTATCTCAAAAATACACAGAGAATAAGTAGAAATGAAAATCAAAACAGGATATTACCACATATATATTCAAAAAATTCAGACTTTTTAATGCAAATTTTTAAATGCTTTTATTAAACAGATCATTTTAGGTCAAAGCAGAAATTCAAACTGTAAGTGTTATATTTCTCTAAGCCAGGGATAATGAAAACACAGTGTATTTAGACAAAATTCATTCAGAAAAAAACCTGTAGCTTGAAATCTTAGATCAATATAAAGCAAAATGTAAAAAATGATTTTAAAATTTCATAATTTCAATAACAAACAGAAAAAACAAACCAAAGAAAAGACAAAAGATTTAATGAAGAATGAGGAAGAAATTAAAGACCTAGAAAAAAGTAAAGTGAATACATTATAAAGCTTGTCCTTTGAAAATTCTGCAAAATAGTTCTATCACAAGCTAATCTAGGCAGCCTTAAAGGGGAAGGGTATACAAACACACACATCATTCATAAAAATGAGAAGAGAAAATTAATCAAGAAAATAGAGGAAATTAAAAAAATTATCAGATATTTTGCACAGCTATATGCAAAAAATAGATAATTTTTAGAAAAATATAAATTTTATAATATTGAACAAGAGACAAAATGTATATGGGAAAAATATCTAGAATAAATAAAAAATATTTTTCAAATACTACTATCCTTAGAACAGGCTTCCTTCTCCATGTGCCTGGCTCATTTATATTTACTAGATTATAATATACACTATCAAAGTGTAAGAGAAGATTTTATCAGTGCTATTAAGAATTCCAGATCTTGTTGAAAGACATAGACAGAGAAAGATAAATATTTAAAAGCTTTATAAGAAGTGAATGTGCTATTTATACAAACTCTGTTAACTGGTTCTTAAAAATCTGTAAGTACATCTCACTTACATGTAGATGAAACAATACAGCATGATATTAAAGTGGGATTTAGTCTGGGAACAAAAGGATAACTCAACATTTGAAAATGTTTTAATATAATTTATCACAATAAGAGATCCCAGGAGGAAAAAAAATCACATAAATATTACCTAATATACTGAAAATTCACTTGGCAATATCCAAAACTGTTGAGTCATAACTATTACATCAATATAAGTTAATGAAAATTCTTTTAAATCATTATTTCATATATCTATATCTGTAACATATATATGTATATGCATGTATACCCAAATATATATGTATATCTCAAAATCAAGTTTTCTTATCAATAAAGGATTATTTGAGATAGGCTTTCAAAAGTAATGTATTCATGACTATAATGGAAGTGTTAGAGAATGCAATAAACAACTTATAGATATTAAAGTTGCAATTATAGAATTAGAAAAACATAAAATTAGATCTCTTTTAGATCATATGAAAATAAAAGTGGAAGTTCTATAAGATCAAATTAAAATGACAAGAAATGTTTTATTAGTGAGATATAAAACAAATATAACAGCATCAATAAACTATATAAATATGTTATTTTCACATATATGATTTTTATATATCATATATACATATATAGATAAAATATAAACAATAGATTTTACATATAAATATGAATAGACTTTACAAACGTGTGAGTGCACATACATGCACAGATATACACATGCATGCAAGCAAGAAGAACTGGCTTTAAAGTATAAAGGAGATCTATGTTACATCATCAATATTAACAAGAACAAGTAAAAACTACAAAATATATGTAAAATGTATATAAAGAAATGGTCTATAACATAATTTAAAATTAGTCAAATATAAATGAATGAATTAAATTTTAATTTAATTTAATTTAATTTATTTCATGAATTTAATTTGAATTCATTCATTTAAATTAATTTAATTTAAATTAAATCTAATTTAATTAATCTCTGTTTTTGTAAGTAGACAAGCTGACACCGACACATGCAGAAGTGAACAAGGAAAACTTTCTAGAAATTTTCTAGCACAAAAAAAATGTTAAGTGGTTGGTGGGAAGTATTAGAACTTCAATAATTAAAACATGGTATAATTTACCAATATTTAAGCCATTATGATATTGAAACATGAACAGAGTACATGTCTATTTCATATAATACAATTAATACATATATTTTTAAATGTATATATTCATAAATAGACAATTTATATAAGACAAAGAAAGCATTTAAAATCAGTGAGTTTATAAAATGACTTCCTAGTAAAAGATATTGAGATAACTGGAAGGTAATTTAGATTCAGAATTTTTCTTTCTACATTATAAGATAAATGTCAAATAGTTAAGAACTTACTTGTAAAACATTAAACCATAAAGTATAAAAAGTATTGCAACATTTTTACAATAATGAAATATGTAATATCTGTTTCAATGTAGAAGCTGTTAAAAACATCACAAGCAAAAAAGAGATAGGTAAAAATAACAAACTAGAAAAATATTTGCAATTCATACTACAAATAAAGGAGAATATTCCCACATTGCACAGAACACCTACAATTCAGAAGAAAATGACCAACATGCTGATTTAAAAATAATGGGCTGAAGGCACAGGAAAGCAGAAAAAGTAGCAACAGCATTGATATATATGAAAAAGTGGTCAAGTTGCCTCATGGTAAGATAAATGCAAGTAAAACCCAGCAATTCACACCTGTAACAATCTAGGGAGACAGCATTTTAATGCGTTCATTGTGTGGGTAGAAAATAGAACAGCATTTATTGAGGAATATCTGGCAGTACCTGACAAAATTATGAATTTTGGAATTCTATTTCAGAAATACAGCAGTATAAATATAGAATAAATCTTATGCAGGCACAATTATTGTAGAAGTGTTTATGATAGAAAAATGCAATAAAGATTCCATGTGCTCATTAATAGAAAATGGGTTATAGTCCTCTAAAAGAAAAAAAAGGCAGAAAAAAATGAATATAAGAATTTATTTTTACTAGGAAAAACTCACCAGGATATGTTGATAAACTGAAAGATCAGCTTCTAAATATTATATATAGTGTTCTCCTTTATTCCAAAAGGTATACAGATAAAAATATAATTTCATTTGCTTAAAATATTTGAGAAAAATAAAGAAAATAATAAATAACATACACATGACAGTGATTTGGCAGAGACAGGAAGAGGGAAAGTCAAGGACATAACTTCTCTGCTTATGCTGCTTTTTATATTACAATGTAAATTGTGCTTATGTTCGAGAAAGCGTATTTTGCATTTTAGAAAAATACTCCAAATAAACAGATGGTCCAACAATGAGAGAGATATTTATGGGAATCTAGTATGATTCAGGTAATGCTTTAAAGGCTTAGGACATGGTGATGAATAATGGGGAGAAAAAAATTGGGTCCTTTGGAACCAGGGCATTATTATAACTCATTTATGGTCTCCCCATGCTACCAGAAATTTTTCTATCAATATTCTTTAATCTTTTTTCTAGAATTGGTAAAGAAAAAAGAAGTAAAAGAACCACCTTAAAGCTAGTTACTCAATCTGACAAAATGTTTTGGGGTGCTGAATTTAGTAATTATCTATATGGGTTATTTAATGTAATTTTTTGCTAATCTAGATAAAACAAAGATTGCTATATTTGCTCTTTATTCAATAATGTTCTCTTTTCCCCTGGTTATTTCTCAGCTTTGGAAATTTGCATTGATAAGAATCAGAATGCTTTCTCAGTGACACATTATGCACCTGACAAAATTCAATGGAGGGTGATGATTCTTAATTTTAATGACAGGCTTTCTACTTTCCATGGACTACGCATAAATCTTTAATTAAGAGTTATGAGGCAACACAGGGAGCACAACAAATCCTCCATTTGGTTTGTGAAATTTAAACTGAGTAAAAAATCTGCTAGTAAAAGAGATGCTCCAAAGAGATAATATAAATATATACTTTAAGTAGGTATAAAAATAGAAATAATGATACAAATTATAAACTGATCAGTATTTAAATATGTTTGTTTTATTAAATACAGATGACAATCTCAGTCTTTAATAAATTTTAAAAAATTAATGCACTTACTCAAAATATTAATAGCATAGCCTTAAAAAAATTAAGGAAACATGATTCCTAACTTCAGCTAGATTTCGGACAACTGGAATGTGATTATGCACATTGTTCTTTACTTGCAACCCTTAAATGAGTCCTTAAGATATGAGAAACATACAATCGTCTTCTTAGCCTCAAGAAATAATTTTCTTCTTCATAACATTTTTCAATCAGAAAGGTATATGTGTGTAGAGAGGTTGATGTGGTATTTTTTTGTAAATAAACAAGCTGGCCAGAGGAAAAAACAATAGATGTGGCAAAGAAGAGTCAAAGATTTGTTGTTTTAACTTACCATCTTTCATAATCTACATGTCAAATAACATGGACCCAGGACATATGCTTGTTTCACATGACATATGCTTGTTCATTGGGGGGATTTTTAGTAACGGATTATTCAACATGTTAATAGGGCCCAACACATTAGCCTTACATACAAGATATATTATAACACATAAGTAAGCTGTATTAGTCTGTTCTTGCATTGCTATAAAGAACTACTTGAGATGGGGCAATTTATAAAGAAAAGAAGTTTAATTGACTCACAGTTCAAGGCACGTTTTACATGGCTGAAGCAGGAGGAAGAGGCAAAAGGTAAAGTGTTACAGACTTTCAAACAACCAGATCTCAGGAGAACTCACTCACTATTATGAGAACAGCAAGGGAGAAATCCATCCCCATAATCCAATCACCTCCCAGAAGGCTTCTCCTCCAACACTGGGGAATAAAACTTGACATGAGATTTGAGTGGGAAACAAATCTAAACCATATCATCCTGACCCTAGCCCCTCTCAAATCTCACGTCCTTCTCACATTGCAAAATACATTTATCCCTTCTGAACAGTCCTCCAAGTCTTATCCCAGTTCAGCATTAACTCAAAACTCCACAATCCAGAATCTCATCTGAAGCAAGGAAAGTTTCTTCCACCTATGAGCCTGTAAAATCAATAACAAATTACTTCCTTCCAAGATACAATGGGGTTACAAGCATTGGGTAAATACACCCATTCCAAAGGAGAGAAATCAGCCAAACAAAATGGATACAGGCTCCATGCAAGTCTGAAAACTAGCAGAGCAGTAATTAAATCTTAAAACTCCAAAATGATCTCCTTTGACTCCATGTTTCACACCCGGCCACAGTGATATAAGGGTGAGATTCCAAACCTTGGGCAGCTCTGCCCCTTGGGCTCTGCAGGGTATAGCTTCCTCAGCTGCTTTTACGGGCTGACATTGACTGCCTGTGGCTTTCCCAGGCACATTATGCAAGCTGATGATGAATCTACCATTCTGGGATCTGGCAGATGGTGGCCTACTTCTGACAGCTCCACTAGTCAGTGCCGCATTGGGGATTCTGTGTGGTGGCTCCATCCCCACAATTCCCCTCTGAACTGCTGAAGTAGGTTCTTAATGAAGGCTCTACCCCTGCAGTAGACTTCTGCCTGGACATCCAGGCATTTCCATACATCTTCTGAAACCTAAGCAGAGGCTCCCAAGCTTCAACTCTTTCCCTCTCTGCACCTATAGGCTTAGCACCACCTGGAAGCCACCAAGGCTTATTGTTTACATCTTCTGGAGCTTCAGGCTGAGATGTATCTGGGGCCTTTTAGTAATGACTAAAGTTGGAGTGCCTGGGCTGTAGGGCACATGTTCTGGGGCTTCACAGAACAGTGGGACCCTGGACCCATGAAATCTTTCCTCCTTCCTAGGCCTCCAGGCCTCTAATGGGAGGAGCTGCCATGAAGGTCTCTAAAATGCCCGTTTTCTCCATTATCTTTGTTATCAACATTTGGCTACTTTTTACTTACACAGATTTCAGCATCTGGCTTGAATTCTTCTGCAGAAATTTATTTTTTTTCCTACCACTTTGCCAGACTGCACATATTCCAAACTTTGCACTCTGTGTTGAGGTATGTTTATTCTATAACTAATTTATTGAGAGTTTTTTTCATGAATAGGTCTTGCACTTTATCAAATGCTCTTCATGCTTCTATTGAGATGATCTTATGGCATTTGTCCTTTATTCTTTTGACATGGTGTATCATATTTATTTATTTGTGTATATTGAAGAATCCTTGCATCCCTAGAATAAATTATCTTGATCCTGGTGTATTGTCTTGTTGATGTGCTGTTGAATTTTGTTTACTAGTATCTTGTTAAGGATGTTTACTTCTATGTTAATCATGGATATTAGCCTTTAGCTTTTGTTGTTTTTGTGTCCTTGTTTAGTTTTGGTATCAGGATAATGCTGGCCTCATGGGATGAATTAGGAAGAATTCCCTCCTCTTCAATATTTTTGAATAGTTTGAGGATTGGTGTTAGTTCTTTAAAAGTTTGATAGAATTCAGAAGTAAAGCCATCAGGTCCTGGGCTTTTTTTTGTTGGGAGACTTTTTATTACTGACACAAACTTGTTACAACTTATTCATCTATTCAGGTTTGTTATTTCTTCTTGGTTCATTTTTGGCAGGTTGAATGTGTGTAGAAACTTACCCATTTTCTTCAGGCTTTTCGATTTGTTGGCATATGGTTGTTTATAACCAAGTGTACAGTTTCTGACATTCATAAGCTGTGGTTATGCATATTATACTGCCAGTCAAAACACTACTTGTAATACAACTGAGAATAAAATTTATATGTACCCGTATGGTCTATCTCCCACTTGCATTTTTATCTTCATCTTTTTTTACATTTTCCATGACATTGGTGCCATGTGAAATACATTCACCTTCTCTCCCTCTTCCCATCAGACTGATTTTACCCTGTAGGCTAGTGTATTGTCATCTTTCAGACCCTGGTTCTAATGTTGCTTCCTGTACCCTTTATCCTGCCCCACTAGCACAGGATCCTTCAGTTATGAACTTTTAGCACAATACACATTCTTCCTTCATAGAATTTAACATAAATTTATTTGGGTAACAGTTTGATTGAGAATGTAGTATTAAGTAAAATACAAGCACTATAAGTAAAAGAGAAACCGTAACTTAGTTGCCCGTTTTATATCCAAACCAAAACCAGTGCCTGGTACATAGTTGCCTTCAGTAAATATTTGGGAAATATATGGCTGAATTCTTGACAAGCTTTAAATAAATAAATGGTCCCTGTCTTCCTCTATGTGCAACTATGTACTAAAAGACTTACTATGCAAGTGTTTAAAATAAATAATGCTTATGTATGTCTTTTAAAATTTGTTTTGAAGAAACATCATCTTAGTGAATAGCTATGATGGAAAATGTGAATTATACTTGATTACACCTTCCTCTTCAAATTCCATACCTAATTGGTCTCCAAGTTCTTTTGATTCTTCTATCTTACATCTTTTGATGTGACCCTCCAAACTCACCCGTAATTATTCATCCTTTGGTGGCTTCATTCATGCCTTAGTTAGGGCAGTGATAATTTTATTTCCTGAAGGTACTCAAGATGCCCCCCAGTATACCATTTGCAATTTCAACTTTTTAATATTTAGGTCTGAGAGTATAATTTTCTCCTCCTTTTTAGAAGAAAATTCCAGCTTTGGCTGGCAGGAAGGTTTCGAAGCTGATGACCAAAAGGATATTTAATCATGTCTTCATATGCTCTTTGGTCGCCTGAGTATACGACAGGGAAAGAGATAAAAAAAAGAACGGTCTTGAATCTCCCTTCTGTGTATTGTCTATTCTTTATTTCAAGTGGAACCTGATAAGGTCATTAGTGTGGCTTTGTTTTTGCAGGAGGATTAATCCTTCTAGGACACACACTAATTGGTCATAAGGAAAAGCAGATATTCTAGTTATCTCATTGATGTTTTTCATGGTGAGTTGTAGGAGAAATAAACCAGAAGTTTACTGATATAAAACAAAGTTACATAAAAGCAGTATGTGGGCCAGGCATAGTGGTTCACGCCTGTAATCCCAGCACTTTGGGAAGCCAAGGTAGGCGGATCACGAGGTCAGGAGATTGAGACCATCCTGGCCAACATGGTGAAACCTCGTCTGTACTAAAAATACACAAATTAGCTGAGTGTGGTAGTGTGTGCCTGTAATCCCAGCTACTCGGGAGGCTGAGGCAGGAGAATCACTTGAACCCAGGAGGCAGAGATTGCAGTGAGCCGAGATTGTGCCACTGGACTCCAGCCTGGCAACTGAGTGAGACTCCATCTAAAAAAAAAAAAAAAAAAAAAAAGCAATATGCAAAGTAAGTTTGCCACACTGTTATTGATTGCACAAATTGCACACATTTCTTTAAAGTTCAGCAAGACATTTTCAAACATTATTGAAATTTGAGGTAAAGCTTTTGAATCTTTAGAACTTGAATCTCACATATAAGGTAATAGCAGTTTTGTTTAACACGTTAAAAAGCATGGTTACTATTCATTTGGAAAAATAAAGATAAAATTAGCAAACTAAAAAGTACAAATACCAATTTATTGAAGTATGTCTTTTCATCTACTAAATTGTGCATTAAGAAATAAGATAATTTATCCTTTATTTTTCATCTCCCCAATGGTCCTTAAAATAATGCTTTATTAATGCAGGTTTTTACAAAATTGGCATACGGTTTGCACTTAAAGAGACTGATATGAAACCACTATCCTCTAACACTTTATAAAATCCTGGAGAAAGTATGGATTTTCATTTGCTTCAGGTTTTATTCATCTTAAACTTACAACTAACTCTTTTAAAGTATGGTCTATAATTGTAGCTGTATAGATTCCCCCACTGACATGGCAAGAGATAAAAATGTTTATTTTTTTTTAACAAAGAAACACACACATACATACTTGAAGCAATGAAAGATAACACATTTCTCTTATGCTTGTGATATGGTTTGGATTGGTGTCCCTGCCCAAATCTCATGTCGTATTGTAATCCCGTATGTTGAAGGAGGGATCTGTTGGCAGGTAATTACATCATGGTGGTAAATTCTCTCTTGCTGTCCTTGTGATAATAAGTTCCCATTAGATCTGGTTGTTTAAAAATGGGTAGAACTTGTGCCTTCACCCTCTTCCTCCTGCTCCAGCCATGTAAGACGTGCCTCCTTCCTCTTTGCCTTTCACCGTGATTGTAAATTTCCTGAGGCCTCCCAAGCCATGCTTTCTGGACAGCCTGCAGAACCATGAGCCAATTAAACCTCTTTTCTTTATAAATTACCCACAAAGACACAAACTTCATGGCTCAACCAAAAAATCACTCAAGATAATCTATAGACTTAAATTTCCAAATATAAAATTGTAGAAGTTATAGAAGAAAACCTACATGGATTTGGGTTGGTGATAAATTTTTAGATACAATAGCAAAAGCAAGTCCATCAAAGAAAAAGAATTGATGATGTGGACTTTATTAAAATTTGAAATGTCTACTCTGAAACATCCTGCTACGAGAATGAAAAACCAAGCCACAGACTGAGAGAAAATATTTATAAAACAAACCTGAAAGGGATTTATATGCAAAATATACAAAGAAATTCTAATGCTCAGCAAGAAGACAACACAATTAAAAGGTAGACACCTCACTAAAAAAGATAAGACAACAAACAAGCATCCAAAAGAATGCTCATGGCACTTGTCATAGGGAAAAGCAAATTAATGCAACAATGGTATACCACTGAGCATCTACTAATGTGACTAAAACCTTTTTTTAATGTAATAAAAATTACAACAGGAGGCTGGGAACAGTGGCTCATGCCTGTAATCCCATCACTTTGGGAAGCAAAGTCGGGAGGATCACTTGAAACCAGTTCAAGACCAGCCTGGGCAACATGTGAGACCCCCATCTTTACCAAAAATTTAAAAATAAAATAAAATTAACCAGCCCTGGTGGCACACACCTGTAATCCCAGCTGAGATGGGAGAATTGCTTGAGCCTGGAAGGTAGAGGCAGCAGTGAGCAGTGTTCGCACCACTGCACTCAGCCTGGGCTACAGAGCAAGACTCTCTCTCAAAAAAACAAATAAATAAATAAAATTAAAATAAGTTGCAACAGGAACTCTCGTTCAATGCTAGTGGAATGCATAATGATACAGCAACTTCAGAAAACAATATGGCAGTTTTTATTAAAGTTAAACATACTCTCACCATAGAGGCACTCCTAGGTTTTGGGGGTTTTTTTGTTTGGTTTTGTTTTTTGTTTTGTTTTGTTTTGTTTTGAGATGGAGTCTCACTCTGTCACCCAGGCTGGAGTACAGTGGTGCAATCTTGGCTCACTGCAGCCTCCATCTCCCGGGTTCAACCAACTCTCCTGCCTCAGCCTCCCAAGTAGCTGGGACTACAGGCAAGTGCCTCCACACCCAGCTAATTTTTTAATTTTTTGTAGTCGGGATCTCCCTATGTTGCCCAGGCTAGTCTTGAACTCCTGGGCTCAAGTGACCCTCCCACCTCAGCCTCCCATGTAGCTTGGACTTAAGGCAGGGACCACAACACCCAGCTAATTAAAAAAACATAATTTGGTAGAGATGGGCCTCAATATGTTGCCCAGGCTAATCTGAAACTCCTGGCCTCAAAGAGTCCTCCCTCTTTGGCCTCCCAAAGTGTTGGGATTACAGGTATAAGCCACTGCATCCCACCTTTGATTTTTTAATCAAGTTATTTTTTGTTGTTGAGCTTTAAGACTTTTTTTTATAAGTTTCTGGATATTAACTCCTTATCAGTTATATGATTTGCAAATGTTTTCTCCCGTTCTATATAGGTTGCTTTGTCACTGTTGATTGTTTCCTTTGCTACACAGACGTTTTTAGGTTTGACGTACTCCCATCTATCTAATTTTGCTTTGGTTGCTTATGCTTTTGGTGTCATATCCAGGAAGTAATTGCTCATTCCAATGTTATAAAGATTTTATTTTTTTTCTTCTTGGAGTTCTGTACTTTTAGGTGTTAGATTTCAGTCTTTAATTTATTTTGAGTTAATGATAACAGATAATGCATCATACGGTAGCATTCCATATAATGGAATGATATGGTTTGGATTTGTGTCCCTGTCCAAATCTTATGTTGAAATGTAATCGCCAGTGTTGGAGGTGGGGCCTGGTGGGAGGCCTGTGAAGTTTGTCACAGGACAAACTTCTTATGAATGGTTTAGCACCATCCCTCTTTGGAACTGTATAGTGAGATCTGGTTGTTTAAAAGTGTATAGCACCTCCCCGCCTTTCTCTCTTCCTCCTGCTCTGGCCACGTGAAGTGCTGACTCCCCTTTCACCTTCTGCCATGAGTGTAAGTCTCCCAAGAAGCCAAGCAGGTGCCAGCATCATGCTTCCTGTACAGCCTGCCGAACAATAAGCCAATTAAATCTATTTTCATTAGAAATTACAGTCTTAGGTATTTCTTTATAGCAGTGCGAGAACGGACTAATAGAGATGCCAATCCCCCAGGCTCCGTATCTCCTTGCAGGAGACTCTGGCATTAGCTGACCTCTGACCCAGGAGACAGCAGGGGCAGCTTCCCTGTGGGACTTGGGTGCCTCTGTTCTGAAAGTCCTCCTGCCCACTGGCCCCTCCCAGGGCCCATGCCTAGCCACTCTGCAAGAGCAGGTGCACACACAGTGCAGCCTCTGCAGCCCAGCCTGAGTGCATCGCTCCACCTGAGTACCTTACCCGTGACCCAGGAGTACATTGGATTCCCCAGCACAGCGAGAGCCCAACCTCAAGCCATACTTCTTGGTGTCCCCAGGGCTGTGGCACGTAGCTAGGGATACCGGGGGCGGGGGGGAGATCTGTGGCTAGCACTTGAACGGGGGAGGAGCCCCCACTCTCAGAGCACTGAGAGAGGTGAGACATTTGGGACACTGGGCAGCGAGGGAGCGAGGCATGCCTCCCTCCAGAGGGCCAGTCCAGAAAAGGGGCGACCTATGCAGCCTCTGCCCGAGGGAGCCCCGCAGCCCAGAACACCTAACAAAAGCAACGCAGGCAGCCACCAGTGATTACAGGAGGCTCCCCCAAGACCTAGGAGCTGGTAAAGGGCTATTGCTCTCCCGTCTCACCGCAAAGCACGCCTGCGAACGCAAAGTACAAAAGAGCCTTGCTACCGGAGATAGCAGCCGTGCCTCTTAAGCACCATCTATTGGATCACGGCCCTAACTACAACACCAAAATTGGCCAGCTAATACAACATCTGTGAAACCAAGCACAATTCACCCACACGTAAGGGTCCTGTACAGAACCCTGGCCCTCTGAAGCATCCAGAAACGAAGCCAGCTGACAATACCCAACTTACACCACAGTTAAAGGAACACCAACCCTCCCAGATGAGAATCAGTGCAAGAACTCTGGCAATTCAAAAAGACACAGTGTCCCCTTGGAAGACCCAGGCCTGCGGAGGGACGTGAGGAGCAGCCCCGACGCCCGACTCAGTCGCAAACACCGGAGTTGGGGAAAACCAAGTAATAAAACCCTCGAAACTGCGCCTGCGCGCCGGAGGGTTACACGCAATCCCCTCTGGGAGGGGAGGGACCTTCCTCAGGGGCGGGAAGAGCCAGGCCCCTCCCCCACCTCCTGAGCCCCAAACCGGGTTGTGCCCGTGACTGACAGGCAAGGCTCCGCCCTACTCCCCGCCCATTTAGCGCCTCCTGACTGCCGAATGGCGGGCTCGCCTTGGTCTCCGTGCTGATTGGCTGGCAGCTGTACAGCCTGGCACTTCGCCCTCCACCACATCTCACCTCCTGAGGGACTCTGAGAGAACGCCCGGCCAGGGTGAACGCCGCGGCAGGAGAGCACGGGAGACTGTGAAGAGCATGGGGAGCCTTTGTCGTGCAGCGTGAAACCCTTGTAAACCCTCATCCCGAGACCTTCAAATTTTAGCTTGGGAGACCCCAGATCCCCTCACCCTGGGAAGCTCCAAATCCTCTCAGCCTCAAGAGACCCCAAATCCTGCCACCTTGAGGGATTTAAAATCCCCTCAGCATGAAACCCCCAAAGTACCTCAGCTTCAGAGACTCCAAATCCCTTCACCCAGAGGAACAGCGAATCTCCTAATGCTTAGAGCACCAAATATTCTGAGCCTGAGAAGCCGCAATTCCCCTCACCCTAAGGCAACCCAAATCCCTCAGCCTGAGGAACCCTAAATATCTCACCCACAGACAGACCAAATTTCCCCAACCTCAGATAACCTAAATAGCCTGAAAACTCAATCCCTTCAGCTTCAAGGACCAAATAACCTCAGTGTCAAAGACCCTAAAACCCCTTAATGAGAGATCCAAATCTCCTTTACCTGAGACCCAGAATTTCCTCAGCCTCAAAGATCTCAAATCCTTTCATCCTGAGGAACCCCAAATCCCCTTAACCTGATGAATCTCAAATCCTGTCAGCTTGAGCACTCCAAATCTCTTCAGCTTAAAAGACCCCAAATCTCATCCTGAAAAAACCACAGATACTATCAGCCTGAGGGATACCAAAGCTCCTCAGCTCGAGATACCCCAAATTTCCTCAACCTGAAAAACCCCAATTTCTTCAGTCTAAGACATCTCAAATCCCCTCAGCCTGAGGGACCCCAAATCTCAACCTGAGAAATAGCTTCCCCTTAGAGATGCAGACTGCTTTACTCCTGGATTTTTCTAGAATCCTCAGGTAGAGGTCCCCAAATCCTGTCTATGCGAAATGTTCATTTTGTCTCGCTGAAACAGAACTCTGCCCCTCAGTCTGACCCAAGTCTCAGCAGTCGGGGGGCCTCAAGGTCTCCTTGGGACTCCTCTGGCTCTCACACCTCAGGACTCCCCTCAAACACCGGTAGCTACAACCCTCCAGGCACCTGTGCCACCCTTCTCCAAATGAGCCTAGCTGCAGGGGAACTAAAAGAACAAAATCCAGCTTACATTAGGTGGTAGCTCATGGCCAGTGGAGGCCTTCCCATCCCATCAGTACCCTCAAATCTCCCTGGGGTGCTCGAGACCTCACCAGGAATCCACATCTTCCTGCTCTGAACACCCAGCCAGATGGAGAAGACAGAGCCTGGTTCTGGGTAGTGCTCAGGGCTGTTGCCCCCTCTCAGCACCTTCTCCTTCCACAGGAGCCTTTGGCCTAGGAGCTGGGAGACTCAGGGCCCTTCTCACACTCAGAATTGGAGCAGGGCCTTCTAGACAGTCCCAGCACCATGAGCCCTGAAAAGTCCCAAGAGGAGAGCCCAGAAGAAGACACAGAGAGAACAGAGCGGAAGCCCATGGTGAGAAGTGGAGGAAGCGAAGCTGGACTCCTAGCAGGAGCTGATCTCTGGAGTGCTGCAGACTCCTGGCCTGTACCCTTGGGGGACCCTATCTGAATGTGCATGGAATGGGGGCAGCTGGTCCTGGCCAGGACATGGGGGAGAAAAGAACACTAGCATCAGCGACTGCTCTGTGTCAGCAGAGAGCTAGGAAAATGCTCAGGGTCTGCTCAGTTAAATGGGACACAGTCTGGAGAAGGAGGGAAGATCTTTATGTTTCACAGAGACTCCCAGAGGCCCCAGGCTATGTCCTACACACAGGGTAGAGGAAAAGGACCAGCTTGATGTGTACTAGTAAATCACTGATGGAATCTGTTACTTCCTCTAGGTCAAAGATGCCTTCAAAGACATTTCCATATACTTCACCAAGGAAGAATGGGCAGAGATGGGAGACTGGGAGAAAACTCGCTATAGGAATGTGAAAAGGAACTATAATGCACTGATTACTATAGGTAACAGGAAGTGCTGGGCACAGACCAGCCTGGGAGACATAAAACAGGTCTTTGGTCCCTATATTATTTTAGTTCTCAGGTGGTGGCATCTGCCCACAATTCCCTTTTTCATGTAGACAAATCTGGAGGGAAATTTTGTTCTTTTGCGTCAGTGCAGGGCTGAGTGTGGATATTGACCATGCAGAGGTCACATCTTGACCTTGTTCAAGACTCTCCCAGCTCATCAGACTGAGCAGCACTGGCTTTGTGGTGCTTTCCATTGCCACTGCCCTTTGTTCCTTCTCCCAGCTCTTCCATTTTAGAACAAAATTTTTGCTTCTTTTCAGGTCTCAGAGCCACTCGACCAGCTTTCATGTGTCACCGAAGGCAGGCCATCAAACTCCAGGTGGATGACACAGAAGATTCTGATGAAGAATGGACCCCTAGGCAGCAAGGTAAGAGGGAAGGGAAGTAGGATTTTTTTTTTTTTTTTTTTTTGAGATGGAGTTTTGCTCTTTTCGCCCAGGCTGGGGTGCAATGGCATGATCTTGGCTCACTGCAATCTCCACCTCCCAGGTTCAAGCGATTCTCCTGCCTCAGCCTCCCAAGTAACTGGGATTACAAGCATCCACCACTACTCCCAGCTAATTTTTTGTAAATTTTTTTTAGTAGAGATGGGGTTTCTCCGTGTTGGTCAAGCTGGTCTCGAACTCCCGACCTCAGGTGATCTACCCATCTTGGCCTTCCAAGGTGCTGGGATTACAGCCATGAGCCACCACGCCTGGCCTATTTTTATTTTTTATTTTTTTGAGACAGGGTCTCCCTCTGTCATCCAGGCTGGATGGTGCAATCTTGGCTCACTGCAGCCTCTGCCTTCCGGGTTAAACAATTCTCCCACCTCAGCTTCTCGAGTAGCTGGGACTACAGATGTGCACCACCATGCCAAGCTAATTTTTGTATTTTTTGTAGAGATGGGGTTTCACCATGTTGGCCAGGCTGGTCTCAAATTCCTGGCCTCAAGTGATCCGCCTGCCTTGGCCTCCCAAAGTGCTGGGATGATGATGATGATGATGATGATGATGATGATGATGATGGTGATTGTTACTATTATTACAGACAAGGTCTCACTCTGTCACCCAGGCTGGAGTGCAGTGGTGCAATCATAACTCACTGCAGCCTCAAACTCCTGGGCTTAAGCGATCCTCCCACCTCAGCTTCCCAAAGTGCTAGGATTACAGGCATGAGGCACCGTGCATAGCCCCCAGGAAGATTTAGAAGTGACCTCCTGGCCAGGCACAGTGGCTCACACCTGTAATCCCAGCACTTTGGGAGGCCAAGGTGGTCGTATCACTTGAGGTCTGGAGTTTGAGACAAGCCTGGCCAACATGGTGAAACTCCGTCTCCACTAAAAATTAAAAAAAAAAAAAAAATTAGCCGGGTGTGGTGGTGGGTGCCTATAACCCCAGCTACTCAGGAGGCTGAGGCTGGGGAATAGCTTGAACCCATGAGGCAGAGGTGGCAGTGTGCCTAAATTGTGCCACCACCCTCCAGCCTGGGCAACAGAATGAGAAGACTCCGTCTCAGGGCGGGAAAAATAGTGACCTCCTGAAACCAGCCTGGGTTTAGGTCTCAGCTACATTTCAGAATTTAACAAAGGAAAAAGAATCTTCCCTCAAAAGCATAAATGTTCAACAAACAAGCAAAATGCAAGACAGTATATACAGTAAGAGGTTATTCATATAACGTTTGTTTGTTTGTTTGTTGTTTTTGTTTTTGTTTTTGTTTTTGAGATAGAGTCTCATTCTGTTGCCCAGGCTGGAGTGCAGTGGCACAATATCAGCTCACTGCAACCTCCACCTCCCAAGTTCAAGCGATTTTCCTGTCTCAGTCTCCTGAATAGCTGGGACTACAGGCATGTGCCACCACGCCAAGCTAATTTTTGTATTTTTGGTGGAGATGGGGTTTTGCCATATTAGCCAGGCTGGTCTTGAACTCCTTACCCACCTCAGTCCACCCGCCTTGGTCTCCCAAAGTGCTGGAATTACAGACATGAGCCACCACACCTGGCCTCATATAAAGTTTTAAAACTTGTAAAATATATATAGTATTTATAGATACAATAATAAGTGGTAAATGTATAAAATCTAAATGTGAATAAGAGTGCCAAATTCAGAACATTTATCATCACAACAAAAGAAGGAAGGGCTGGCAGGTGGCTTCACTGTGGCTTGGTTAGTTTTTTTGTATGTTTTTATTTTTGTTTTTAAATTTTGAAATACACATAAAAAGATCTGAAACAATTGTGACAGAATGTTGACATTGGACTGAATGGTGATGGATGTATAGGTTTTCCAGTACCATTCTCCATTGTTTTCTATATGTTTAAAATTTGTCATTCTTTTTTTTTTTTTAAATTGTGTTTGCTAAACATTGTTAATACATCATAGAACAATGAAAGCAAACTTAATTAAACTGTAAATCCACGAAAAAGCTTTCTAATACCAATCTCATAATATTGATTTAAATTTCTTAGAAGAAGAAATAATATTAAGTAAAGATATATCATTTATGTACATTTAATCATACTATATGATCCTCTTATACCAAAATGAATCTACTTCTTTGTCTCGATTCTGGAGCGGGTTTGAGAGAGCTGTTTAGTTTCCCTGATCTTTCCCATATGTCACTGACCAGAGACAGCATCAGGTAAATAAAATAATGTATCATAATTATAAAATAGAAGTGTGAAGCTCATTTCCTCTTCTACTGCTTGGTTAGGAGAGTTTAGAAGTAAAAAGAGTCAATCTACCCAAACTAGAGAAAGCAACTTGGATTGGGTCTACGATTTCCCCATCTATGGATTTTAGATTCCTTAGGACCTAAAAATACTGTAAGAGGTATGAAAGGCCAGTGTTTGCTTTTCTGCCAATGTTTTGACATGAAAAGAATGGCTCTTTAGCGGGAATCTATCTCCCATGGTTTACCACACATCTATACATCTTTATCTGAACTCAGTTAAAATCCCTAATTTAAGTTAATTTATTTTTTACTGTGGTAAGAAATCATATAACATATATTTACTCTTCTAACAATTTTTAAGTGTACAACTTTATTAATTATATGCACATAGTGGTGAAATAGATCCCTAGAACTTTTTATCTTGCATGACTAAAACCCTATACCCATTGAACAATAACACCCCATTTCCTCCTCCCTGCAGCTCCTGGCAACTGCAATTCTGTTTCTATAAATTTGATTACTTTAGATACCTCATATACATGGAATCAGCCATGAAATATTTGTCTTTTTGTCACTGGCTTATTTAATCACTTAGCATAATGTCCCCAAGATTCACCCATGTCATAGCATGTGACAAGATTTTCTTCTTTTTTAAGGCTGAATAATATTCCACTCCATGTATATACCACATTTTAAAAATCCATTCATTTGTCAATGGATATTAGGTTGCTTCACCTCTTGTCTATTGTGAGTAATGCTGTAATAACTATCAGTGTGCAAATATCTCTTTGAGATCCTGTTTTTAATTCTTTTTAATATATTGTATACCCAGAAGTGGAATTTCTGGATCATAAGGTAGTTCTGGTTTTAATTTTTTGTGGAAGTGCTATACTGTATTTTACAGTGTCTGCACCATTTTACATTCCCACTACTATGGTTTGAATGTGTGGAAGTTCATGTATTGGAAACTTAATTGCCATTGTAACAGTATTAAGAGGTGGAGCCTTTAAGAGGTGAATTAGGTAATGATAGCTCCAACCTCATGAATGGATTAACGCCACTATCACAGGAGTGGGTTAGTTATTGCAGGAGTGGGTTCCTGATGAAAAGGATGAGTTGGGCCCTTCCCTGTCTTTCTCTCTGTCTCACATGCACACTTACGCTTCCACCATGTCATGATGCGGTTTGAAGCCCCTTGCAAGATGCCAGGGCCATGCTCTTCAACTTCCCAGCCTCCAGAACCACAAGCCAAATAATTCTTCTCCTTATAAATTACCCACTCTGGGCCAGGCATGGTGGCTCATGCCTGTAATCCTAGCACTTTGGTAGGCCGAGGCAGGTGGATCATGAGGTCAGGAGTTTGAGACCAGCCTGGCCAGCTTGGTGAAACCCCATCTCTACTAAAAATACAAAATTAGCCGGGCATAGTGGCGTGCACCTATAATCCCAGCTACTCGGTAGGCTGAAGTAGAAGAATCACTTGAACCCGGGAGGCAGAGGTTTCAGTGAGCCGAGATCACACCACTGTACTGCAGCCTGGGCAACAGAACGAGACGCCGTGTCAAAACAAAAACAAAAACAAAAAAACCCACACACACACATAAATTACCCACTCTGTTACATTCTAGGAAAGCAGCAGAAAACAGACTAAGCCACCTACCAACAATAAGCAAGTGTTCTAAATTTCTCCGCATCTTCGCCAACACTTGCTATTTTCTGTTTTTTTGACAGAGGCTATCATAACAGGATAAGTGACATCTCGCTGTGGTTTTAATTTTCATTTCCCTGATGATTAGTGATGTTAAGCATATTTTTATATGCTTCTTAGCCATTTATGTATCTTCTTTTGAGAAATGTCTATTCAAGTTTTTTGCCCATTGTATTAGTCAGCCCAGGCTGCCACAAGAAAATACCACACACTGGGTGGCTTAAACAACAGAAATTTATTTTCTGACATTTCTGAAGCCTGGAAGTAAAAAATCAGAGTGCCAGCATGGTTGGGTTCTGGTGAGGGGTCTCTTCCTGACTTGTGGGCAACCTCCATCTCACTGTGTATTTACGTGAATTATTTGTGTTCCCACATCAGGAAGGAGAAGGAATTTCTTCCTCTTCTTATAAAAGCAATAATATCTACTAGAAGATTTTTTTTTTTTAGACAGCCTCACTCTGTTGCCCCAGGCTGGAGTTCAGTGGTGCGATCTCAGCTCACTGCAAACTCCACCTCCTGGGTTCAAGCAATTCTCCTGCCTCAGCCCCCCACGTAGCTGGGACTACAGGGGCACACCAGCTAATTTTTGTATTTTCAGTAGAGATGGGGTTTTACCATGTTGACCAGGCTGGTCTCAAACTCCTGGCCTCAAATTATCTGCCCACCTCCTCGGCCTCCCAAAGTGCTGGGATTATAGGCATGAGCCACTGCGCCAGGCCAAAAGCACTAATGCCATCCTAAGGGTCCCACCCTCATGACATCACCTATCCCTAATTACCTACCAGTGGCTCCATCTTTAAATACCATCATATTGAGGTATTAAATATGCTTCAGCATATGAATTTGGGGGAAACAAAATTCAGTCCATACCACTCATTATTTAATTATTTGTTTTGTTGTTGTTGTATTATAGGAGTTCTTCATATATTCTGAATATTAACTCTTTTTTTTTTTTTTTGAGACAGAGTTTCGCTCCTGTTGCCCAGGCTGGAGTGCAATGGAGCGATCTCAGCTCACTGCAACCTACACCTCCCGGGTTCCACCGATTATTCTGCCTCAGCCTCCCGAGTAGCTGGGATTACAGGCACATACCACCACGCCCAGCTAATTTTTTGTATTTTTAGTAGAGACAGGGTTTCACCATGTTGGCCAGGCTGGTCATGAACTCCTGACCTCAAGTGATCCATCTGCCTCGGCCACCCAAAGTGCTGGGATTACAGGCATGAGCCACAGCGCCTGGCCTGGATTTAACTCTTTATCTTCTTTTTTTGAGTCAGAGGTCTCACTATGTTGCTCTGGCTGGTCTCGAACTCCTAGGTTCAAGTTATCCTCCCACCTGAGCCTCTGAATAGCTGAACTATAGTCATGTGCCACTGCACTCAGCAACATTAACCCTTTATCAAATATATGGTTTGCATATATTTTCTTCCACTCTGTAGGATGCCTTGCCACTCTGTTGAATGTTTTCTTTGCTACACAGAAGTTTTTAAGTTTGATGTAGTCTTATTTGTCTATTTTTGCTTTTATTGCTTATGCTTTTGGTGTCATATACAAGAAGTTATTGTTCATTTCAATGTCATAAGCTTTTCCTCTGTGTTTTCTTCTTGAGGTTCTGTACTTATAGGTTTTACATTTCAGTCTTTAATCTATTTTGAGTTAATTTTTATATGAGATATGTGGTAAGAGTCTGTCTTCTCTTTTGCATATGTATATCCAATTTTCCCAACACCATTTCTTGCAGACTGTCCTTTCCTCCATTGTGTAGTCTTGGCATCCTTGCTGAAGATCATTTGACCGCATACACAAGGGTTTATTTCTGGCCTCTCTATTCTGTTCCATTGGTCTATATGTCTGTCTTTATACCAGTACCACACTTTTCTGATCGCTGTAGCTTTGTTATATGCTTTGAAATCAGGAACTATGAGGCCTTTAACTTTATTCTTCTTTTTCAAGATTGGTTCAGCTATTCTGAGTCCTTAGAGATTCTATATGAATTTTTGGATATTTTTCCTTTTCTGAAAATAATGGCATTGGCATTTTGATAGAGATGGCATTGAATCTATAGATCATTTTGATAGTATGAACATGTTAACAATATTAAGTCTTCAAATCCATGAACACAGGATGTCCTTCCATTTATTTGTGTCTCCTTAAATTTCTGTCGGCACCGTTTTGTAGTTTTTAGTGTTCAAGTTTTTTGCCTCCTTGGTTAAGTTTATTTGTAATTATTCTATTCTTTTTGATGCTATTGTGGTTGGGATATTTTTCTTAATTTCCTTTGTGGATTGCTCATTGTTACTAAATAGAAACACAACTGATTTGGGGTGTTGATTTTGTATGGTGAATTCATGTATTATTATTATTTTTTTAGATGGAGTCTGGCTCTGTTGCCCAGGCTGGAGTGCAGTGGCGTGATATCGGCTCACTGCAAGCTCCACTTCCCTGGTTCACGCCATTCTCCTGCCTCAGCCTCTCGAGTAGCTGGGACTACAGGCGCCCGCCACCATGCCTGGATAATTGTTTGTATTTTTAGTAGAGACAGGGTTTCACCGTGTTAGCCAGGATGGTCTCGATCTCCTGACCTCGTGATCTGCGCACCTCAACCTCCCAAAGTGCTGAGATTACAGGCGTGAGCCACCATGCTCGGCCCGAATTCATGTATTACTTCTAACAATTTTTTGGTAAAAATCTTTATAGTTTTCTTTTTTTTTTTTTAAGATGGGGTCTCGCTCTGTCGCCCAGGCTGGAGTGCAGTGGCACGATCTCGGTTCACTGCAACCTCTGCCTCCCAGATTGAAGCGATTCTCCTGCCTCAGCCTCCTGATTAGCTGGGACTACAGGCGCCCGCCACCACACCTGTAATCCTAGCACTTTGGGAGGCCAAGATGGGCAGATCACGAGGTCAGGAGATCAAGACCATCCTGGCTAACATGGTGAAACCCTGTCTCTACTAAAAATAAAAAATTTAAAAATTTAAAAAATTAGCTGGGCATGGTGGTGGGCGCCTGTAGTCCCAGCTACTCAGGAGGCTGAGGCAGGAGAATGGCATGAACCCACGAGGCGGAGCTTGCAGTGAGCCAAGATTGTACCACTGCACTCCAGCCTGGGCGACAGAGCGAGACTCCATCTCAAAAAAAAAAAAAAAAAAAGGTTGGGGGGGCTTTTCTTTTATGATCTTTTTATGTTAAAGTGATTTCCTTCTATTCCTAGTTTGTTCAGTGTGTTTGTCGTGAAAGGTCAATTTACATTTTAAAAATTAATGTACTAGATACCTTATTAGGTATACTTTAATAGACAGGATGAAACAAAGATGAAGTTTTATCTATTTTTTTAAGTCTTAAGAAAATTAGCAATGCCTTTAATAGAAACATAGGCCTTAATGATACTTCAGAAAACATTTCCAAATCGCCTTTGGATAATACTTGGAATCATCACTCTCTGATTCAGAATTCTCTGTCTCTAATGAGAAACTCCAGAGTTAGGCCCGGCATGGTGGCTCACGCCTGTAATCTCAGCACTTTGGGAGGCAGACGCAGGTGGATCACCTGAGGTCAGGAGTTTGAGACCAGCATCGCCAACATGGAGAAACCCTATCTCTACTAAAAATACAAAAATTAGCCGGGTGTGGTGGCGTACACCTGTAGTTCCCAACAACTCACAAGGCTGAGGCAGGAGAATCGCTTGAATCCGGGAGAGGGAGGTTGCAGTGAGTGGAGATTGAGCCACTGCACTCCAGCCTGGGCGACAGAGGGAGACTCCGTCTCAAAAATAAAAAATAAAAATAAAAAATAGAAGAGAGAATCTCTAGTGTTTGGAAACATTTACCAACCAAACCACTGATTTCTCATCACCTTTTAGTCAAACCTCCTTGGATGGCCTTAAGAGTGGAACAGCGTAAACACCAGAAGGTAAGTATTTCCCAAATCCTATTGACAAGAAACCTTCCTCATGGATCCAAACACAGGTAAGAGGAGGAGAATGTACAGACTATCATAGGAACTAATGCCTTCTTTTCCTGATCTCTTTAGCACAGTGTCTGACATCATCATTATTTTAAGAGTTAATAAGAACAGCAACAATAATTGCTACCATGGTGTTATTTTCTCAGTATTTTCAGACTCTATTTTAAGCATTTTACATGAATAAACTTTACATATAGTTCCTATTCAACTTTATATATAGTACCTATTAAGTAGATGTTGTAACTATAGCCATTTTACAGATGAGAAAACTGAGGTATAAAAATGTTCAGTTATATCCCTGGGATCACATTCAGTGTTGGTGCAGTCTAATCCAAAACTCCTTCTCTAAAGCACTTACAAGATCATTAACACAAGATCATTAAAAGTTTCATAGTTTTATAAAGTTTATGCTGTCTTACCCATATGTGTTACATCATTCGTCCAACTGACTTTTTAACCTCAGTTTTTCTCTGTTATGGTAAAGTGAGATTTGCACTGAAACACTCTGATTAAGGGAAGCTTCCAAGTAAATAGACAGTTCATACTGTGTTTGGTCCCAGAAGGAGATAGGGTCCCTACCCTCATAAGGGACCCATTCTGATCAGAGGAAGCAGCTTCCAGCCCTGAGGAGTTTCAGCTTTGAAGACTGAGAAACAACAAATAAGAAAATGGTTTAAGACTTCATATAGGTTACATCCTATTAAGTAAAAATATATTCTTCTGGAACTGATTTCAAATTCTCATTCCTACAGAAGGCAGTAACAGCTCCTTCCTCTGGGCTCCAATTAGGGAACTGTCATGTTGTTTGGAATTATTTGTTTAGCCTGCCTGCTGCCTCTTCATTGTGAGCTCTTCAGGAGTCTGGTCCATATCTGATTCTTCTCAGAACTCCCAAGCCCAGATCAGGGCCTCTGAGAGCCTCCTTAGTGTTTTCTGAATGACTGATTCCAAGTTTATGAATTAAACTATAAGTAACAGGGTCAAGGAATGCTGAAAATATCTTTGAGTTAGATTTCAACTGTAGAGATGTTATCAGGACTATGAGATAATTTTCATTTGTTTGTTATTTTTCTGGGTGGTGGTGGGGTGATTTGAGACAGAGTCTGGCTCTTTCGCCCAGGCTGGAGTGCAATGACTCAATCTCGGCTTACTGCAGCCTCCATCTCCTAGATTAGTGCGATCCTCCTGCCTCAGCCTCCTGAGTAGCTGGGACCATAGGCATGCACCACCATGCCCAGCTGATTTTTACGTTTTTTGTAGAGACAGGGTTTTGCCATGTAGCTCAGGCTGGTCTTGAACTACTGGGCTCAAGCCATCCTCCCACCTTGGCCTCCCAAAGTGCTGGGATTACATATGTGAGCCATTGCACCCAGTCTGTGAGAAAAATTCTTTTCTTTTGTTGAGACAGAGTTTCACTCTTGTCACCCAGGCTGGAGTGCAGTGGAGTGATCTCGGCTCACTTTAACCTCCCCCTCCTGGGTTCAAGTTGTTCTCCTGCCTCAGCCTCCCAAGTAGCTGGGATTACAGGCACCCGCCACCACACCTGGCTAGTTTTTTGTATTTTTTGTAGATATGGGGTTGGCTAGACTGGTCTCAAAACTCCTGACCTGAGGTGATCCGCCTGCCTTGGCCTCCCAAAGTGCTGGGATTACAGGTGTGAGCCACTGCACCTGGTGAGAAAAATTATTAATCTCACATTCATACTGTATTAAGTAGTTCAAAAAACACTTTGGTGAACATTATTATCTTTCATGTTCACTACAATATTAAGAATTAGCGCCAGGGGCAGTGGCTTACACCTGTAATCCCAGCACTTTGAGAGGTGGAGGTGGGCAGATCACCCGAAGTCAGGAGTTCGAGACCAGCCTGGCCAACATGGTGAAACCCCATCTCTACTAAAACTACAAAAATCAGCTGGGCATGGTGGTGGACACCTGTAATCCCAACTACTCAGGAGCCTGAAGCAGGAGAATCGCTTGAACCCGGGAGGTGAAGGCTGCAGTGAGCTGAGATCGTGCCACTGCACTCCAGCTTAGGCAACAAAGTGAGACTCCCTCTCAAAAAAATAAAAAAAAAAAAAGAATTAGCATGGTCTGATGGTCTGAGTGTTGGGGCTCATGCCTATAATCCCAGCACTTTGGGAGGTTGAGGTGGGTGGATCACTTGAGGTGAGGAGTTCGAGACCATCCTGGCCAACCTAGTGAAACCCCGTCTCTAATAAATATACAAAATTTAGCTGGGTATGGTGGCACATGCCTGTAATCCTAGCTTCTCGGGAGGCTGAGGTAGAAGAATCTCTTGAACTTGGGAGGTGGAGGCTGCAGTGAGCTGATATCGTGCCACTGCACTTCAGCCTAGGCAACAGAGCGAGACTCCTTCTCAAAAAAAAAAAAAAAAAAAAAAAGCATGTATGCCAATTTCTGGATCAGGAAACTAAAGAGAATTAGCTAACAATACACCCTTATTCAAGCAGACAAGCAGAAGTGGTACAGGAACTAATTAATCTAATTCCAAAGCCAAATATTCTTTCCAGGATATGGCAACATGCAACTTTGACATCATTTTCTTGGTTGTCTAGATATATTTTTGCCAATCGTCTCTTTGTTCTGTTCCCAATCTTACTGCTCTATTACCTCATTTTCCAGAAGTGCTTTGTCCCTCTGTGCTTCTCTACATTTCCCCTTCTATCAAAAGTCTACTAGTTTATGGAAGATTCCCTCCTTCTCTTTGTAAGCCCTTACCCCCTTCTTTCACAGATCTTGTTGATTCTCCAGCTAGTCTTCCCAAGTATTCCTCCTCCTTCCCTTTGACTTACATAGAACATTTTAGAGAAAGTTGAAGGAAAGAGCCTTAAGACATGGGTTAGAGTCCCAGATTCACTACTCACTTAGACCTTCTCTTTTCCCTCTAGTATTTAGACACTCTAGGTATTTTCAAGGTTTGAACATTAACTAGAGTCATGCATATGAAAACATGTTGCAAGCCGTAAAGAACTAAAGAAATTCGTGTTGTCTTTTAATATGTGACTCTCACATTAAAGGGAATGCCCAAGGCGTCATTCAGTAATGAATCTAGTTTGAAAGAATTGTCAAGAACAGCAAATTTACTGAATGCAAGTGGCTCAGAGCAGGCTCAGAAACCAGTGTCCCCTTCTGGAGAAGCAAGTACCTCTGGACAGCACTCAAGACTAAAACTGGGTAAGAAAAAATATTTGCGGGGACTTTAGTCCCTCTATGTCCTCTAG